>NC_000005.10:166367384-166670414 GCF_000001405.40 Homo sapiens
AAGGTTTGATAAAAAGTTAACAAGAACTTGGTTTTCAACTATTACTAATGACCTAAAAGTTTTCTTGTCATGAAGGACTTTGAGTTTCAGTCGCCATTATTTTAGCTACCCACACCACCTGCAGGCTGGCAGGAGAGGCAAATCACCTGGGTGCTGGGCCCAGGGATGTCACTGGTACTCTTCCAGGAACCATTCTAGCTCTGGACAGCTCCATTTCCTCAGCACTGTCTCCTGACCCTTGAGCTTGTCCCAAAAAGCCTGGAGAGCAGCCTTGGGAGAGTCTTGTGCTGGTGGAGATACTGACAAGTGTACAGAGAATGGTTTTGGCCCTGATTAAGCCCTCTCATTGCTAGAATATCTGTAGTGACTTTAGTTTCCCTTATAGTTATTTTTTGAGAGAAATGAATTGTTTGAATATACCTTACCTGCATGCAGATCACTCAAAACAGAATTCTATTCTCCAGTACCATAGGCACTAACTACATGTGGCCACTCGGCAATTGAAATATGATTAAGCTCAAATTGCAATGAGATAGAAGTCTAAAATAACATACCAGATTTCAAAAACTTTGTGAAAAAAATATATAATCTCTTATTTAGCTTTCCTTCTTGCAAAAAAAAAAACAAACATGTAATCTAAACCATTGTTATATTGGTTACATGTTAAAATGAAAATATTTTTGAATTTGGGCTAAATAACATATATTACTAACATTAATTTCACCTTTTTCTAACTTATGTAATGAGGCTACTAGAAAATTTAAAATTACAGGTGTGGCTTACATTTGTGACTTCACCTGAGAGTTCTATTGGATAGCACTGGATTAAAAGCTTCAACAGATGAGCCCTAAGGTACCTCCAAATGCTGAAATTTTATAAGTGCTTTATTCCATCTTCACAATAATTCTATTTGGTGAGGATGGCATTTTACAGATGAGAAAACCATAACAAATGGCTCATCAGCTCACTTCCCGAATCCACTGAAGAGCATTGAATAAGTTATTTTGTTTGTTCTGTTTGGTTGGTGAAGTATTTGCTTTAATACTTCTTAAAGTACAGTGGGGAAATGGGCAATCCACAACATTCAATCACTTGGCAGTTAGTTTGTCCTTCTTATTTCCCATGTGATAAGGAACAGGCATATCAGCAAGTAAGCTCATCAGTTCAAATTCTCAATCTCTCTCCTCCTGCTCTCATGCGTGTGCGTGCACACCCACACACATACTTCTAAAGATGTCTGCCATTTAAAATAGTCACTTAGAAATATAGAGTATGCTCTAATGGTCCCTGATTGGATCATTATACAACATAGAGATATATCAAGAAATCACACCGTACCCCATAAATATGTACAATTACAATGTACCAATTTTAAAAATTAGTAAATAAAAGAATGTAAAAATATATAGACTATTAGTTATATAGCTAAGGGGAAATGTGAAGTCTTCTAGTAAAGGAGCCTCTTCTCCTAATTTCCCCCATCCCTTACACCCAACCCCTGTCTTCCCCCAGCTGTGGGGCCCTTCCTTCACATAAGCTATTGGATAGAATACTGGTACTGAATACAGATTAACAATGTGCTGCTCCGGTGGATGCAATGGATATCTGGAATCCTCCTCCCTCTGCTTTGCCTTACAATTCCTGAAGCACATCTGAGTTTCTTCAAAATCCAGTTTGAAAAGAAAAGTTAGGCCCAGAGAAGTGAATTTCAGGAACATTACTGAGTTGTATATCATTGAAGGTTGTATTTCCTCTATCACCAGGTCCATTTCCAGAACTAACCCAAGTCTTGAGTCAGAATAGCAAGGATGCACCTTCTCCATTCTAAGGGAAGAACTAAGTAAGAATCTCTCTTGGGTATGTAGACAAAGGAGATAGGATAGACAGAATGCCTTAGAAACCAACGAAAACAAATCAAACTATGGTGCATTTATTCACTTACCTTTCTATTTCACAGTAATACAGCCTTGATTTCCAGAATTAAATTGTACGTTGTCAGTAAAAGCCCAACACTTTTTGTTGTTGTTTCAAGCTACAGTCACTTTGTTTTGGAGCTAAGTAGATACTGGGCCTCTTTCTTTCCTGACCTTTGTGATGATTTTGTAAGAAGAACATTCCACCGGCAGCCTGCCTTCACTCCACTTTTAAGCTCTTCTTAGGAAGCTCACATCTGGTAAGTGCAGATGGCTATCACTAAAGGCATAATACAAAAAAAAAAAAAAAAAAAGTAGAGACCTCCTTAGGTTTCTGGCTACTCTATGTCAACAAGCTGAGTCAGTGTTTGTGATTTTATCCTAATAAGTTTTCTTTTCTGGGTACAAATCAAGCTCAGCCTCCTAACCTTTTCAGAGAACTTACTCTCATTCCTCAGAAATCAATGATCAGGAGGGCATTTGGTTCTGAATGAGTATATGTCACTCTACTCTGAAGAAAACCCAATGTTTACATTTTTATCTGTTGATATTTTAATTAACAATTTAAGTGCAATGTTTGCCCTGTGAGTTCAATGGGAAAAACTCTGCAAATAAACAGCAGTTCCCTCTTGGACAATCACTCTGTAAATTAGCTTACTTTGTCAATAAAGTGCATGCCTATCAGACTCTTCAAAGCAGCAGGGGTAAGGATGTTCATTTACTTAAGCAGTAGGTTCTACCATTAGCGTTTGTGATTGGTGTTAATTAGAACTGTGTGTGCATGTCTCCCTGCCACAGAGCCCACGTTTTCAAAATCCTAGTAACAATCAAGCTATTAATAAATTAATTACCCATATTTGTTTCTGTTTCTTTTCTAATCTAATTGAACCTTTTTGAGCAACACCATCTTGATGAACATTCGAGGACTGGTTTCCCGGAACTACAGTGGTTTAAATCGTGCTTGATGACTGTTTTTAAAAGAGCCTTCTATGACTGTTTAACCTAGTCATCAAACTTTTCAGAGTGGGTACAGTTGGGAAGCCTAAGTATTTTAGCAATTTGGAACAATTTTTTGAAGTTTTTTTTTTTTTTTTTTTTTGAATTAAATGCGCTTTGATGAAGTAAATGTTTTATTTTTCCCAAACGAAGCATTCAAAGTAAACAAACTGGATTTATTGGCATTCAAGATAATTCAGAGTATTAGGAGATATCTAAGAGGATATTAAGGTTGTGTTGACAAAGTTGGGTAATTAGAGCAATTATGTAGATAATTCAGATGCTCCTGGTGGAGACTTGGGGTCCTTGATATTAGAGAGCTCAGCTACCCCGTGGGGAAAGTATTTTCCTTAGACCTAAAATATCCAGACAGAATAGATTATTTTTAGCTCTCTCTCTTTGCCTTGGGAGATATAACCTAAATGTTTCTCAATTACCCTGAAACTGGACATCAGGCAAGCCAATGTATCTCAAAGCTATTTTCAGTAGTGCTAGCATTTAGAGTGCAGAAAGGAGTGAGACATGATTTATATATTACATTGTTGGACTATTTAATATTAACATTTAAGTGCTACTTTTTATCAGCAAGCACATGATTCTCTGGAAGAGTTGAGGAGCATCTCAATCCAGCTTGGTGCTTTGTATTGGTCTGTACCTTACAGAAGGGTTTAAAACTTACAATTCGTTATACCCCTTGAGAAATTCCCTATAGATCAAGTAGGAAACTCATAGTTTTGTTTTTTCTATGGCTTATTTTCTGCTTTGATATCACCAGTCACCCTGAGAATTATGTACCTCTTCATTTCCTGTCTCAATCCTGTTGATTTGACTCGTGGACACCTAAGCGTCAGCTGTAACTGTGCTTGTGGGTTCTTACACCTTGATGGGTACCTAGACCCTAAGGATGTCTTTTTAATAATTAGAAAAACTGGAACACTTAGGAACAATTATATCTCAGTATCTTATTTTCTTAAAAATATTTATTGCATTTGGCTTTAGACAATGGAATTGGTGATTTTAATGGATTTTAGCCTGGACAGATGCTTCTTATTCTTATGTACTCCTGAATTCGTGCTCCTATGAGGATAGCATCCCTGCACAGTAACCATGTAGCATGCCACAAAGGATTATTACGGTAGATGGAAGAATAATCACAAGATGAGAACACTTTCAATAAAGTGAAAGTGAAACTAGAAATTTCCCATAGCCACAAGTATCATGTTTATTGCTAAACTGTGTGGTCTGGCTGAAAGGGAGAAGGATTTTTCTACAAATTAATAGACATCTTTGTATTTGTGTGTTTCTTGTATGTGACAATTCTATATTGAAGCAAGTTTTGTTTTGTTTTTTCCCCCTTAATTATATTGAAGTCTGTGTTTGTAGACACGGGGAAAAAGCAGCATGTTGCCTATACCATACTACATTTCCGCCTTTTAAAATAACATCTTACGGCAAGGAAGAAATGTATCATACAGGCACAACATAAAATCTTCTTAAGTGTAGAGAAATCAAGACATTCAGTGAATTAAATTCCTAATGAAAACATTTCATGTTATGAGGAGACAACCAGATTATTTTTGTCTACGGCTGAATGCTTAGAATTTACAGACTATATCTGTATTCTTCCTTTTTTAAAAAAGAATTAAAGAGCCTTTTAAAATTAGCTAGTTATTTTATATACATGTATATAACTTAATATGAGCAATTTTCATCAACCAAGAAAACTCTCGCAACCTATGTCTGTACCTACATATGCAGCATGATTACAGCCATCAGTAATGATTATATTTGCTCACATGATATATTTACTTGTTGCTTTTTTAAAAAAATACACTTCATAGTGTAAAGCTTTATAATTTAACTTTATAGAAGCTCTTTCTTGCAATTAACAACAGTGCTATGAAAATTAAAAGAGAAGTATTTGGATTATATATGAAGTAGAAAAAAATAGACCAGGCAAATGGAGTATTATTGGTTATTCATTTTGAGTGCCTTATTCTTTTTTTTTTTTTTTTTTTTGAGACGGAGTCTCACTCTGTAGCCCAGGCTGGAGTGCAGTGGCGTGATCTCAGCTCACTGCAAGCTCTGCCTCCCGGGTTCACACCATTCTCATGCCTCACCCTCCTGAGTAGCTGGGACTACAGGCGCCTGCCACCATGCCTGGCTAATTTCTTTGTATTTTTAGTAGAGACGGGGTTTCACCATGTTAGCCAGGATGGTCTCGATCTCCTGACCTCGTGATCCGCCCGCCTCGGCCTCCCAAGAGTGCCTTATTCTAAATAGAATTATAGGTCCTGCTTTCTCTACTGATAAGAATTAACTGCTGCTTCATGCATTTTGACATTTTTTAGGGCCGTCAAGTCCAGACTCACAGCATCATGATTTATTTTTCTTATAAAGATCAATCCTTTTAAAAACTATACGCAATCTTGTGGGTGGTATACTTCTGATTAAATTAAAGGAGAAGCAATTAATTAATTTATTTTTTCTTTAAAGACTTCATGGAAAGAGGGGTAGAGAAATGAAGAAAGGAGAGTGAGAGAAAGAGAGGGAAAGAGTAAAGGATGCTTATGTCCATTGAGAATAGGTGTATTTCTGTATAATATCAGAGATACGTGGGTTTTTCCTGGCCTGAGGCATGGAAAAGATAAAGCATTGATTTGGTTTTAAAGGATTTTGTAAGCAAATGTATACAAAGTGTTTATAAAGGTCCTTGGAGTATGTTGGGAAAAAATACTGTTGAATTTATAAATGCAGCCATTAACAGTAGCCAAGATTGCAAGTGTTCATGTTTATTGTGCAATGATTAATTCTGTTTTTATACTGTATGAAACATGTTAGGGTTAGCCCCAATGGCACTGCAGGGTCTAAGGGCTGCTAATATTTGGAAATATTATTGCGTGTTCCTTCACCACAGTAAAGCTACATCTGACTCGCGTGAACTTTGGAATATGGAAGAATCTAACTTCATCTTTTAACTTGGCACTATGCAAATATTTATTTTCTTAATTAAAAAAATAAATACTTAAAAAATTGAAACACATACTGCCGGTGCCTTGTTCATAGTCCCCCCAAAACAAACCATTCTGGAGCATGCCTACTGGATTTGCAGCTGCCAGCACTGGAGATTCTTGGACTGAGAGATCTCTCTGTAGTCTGCAGTCCACCTCCGCCTGTGCATACAGCAGACTGGAATCCCCCATGGGATTATTTTCCAGCTGCCCACAATGGCTGTTTGTGAATGTACATTTTACTGGATTCCTTCTTTCTTGTCTTACTTCCTTACTTCTCTATCAAGGTTTCTTGAGATTACATCACTTTAAACTACATAAAAATTTTTATTTTAGGGTATGCTTCTAGAAAAACACAAGTTGCATGTATTTTTTGAATTGGTTATCTATTCATGTGGTTAAAAAAAAATCAATAGGGAAGAATATAAACTGAAAAGTAATTCTTTACTACCCTTGTCCCAAGCAGTAGAACACTTAGGTAAGAACAAAGCGAGAGGAGTCCTTGCCTTGTTCCACGTTTTAGATTTAGAGGGTCTTGCAGGTCTCAAACACACAGAGATGTGAGTTTATTAAAAAGACAAACTGCTTCTATTCTCAGAAGAGCGTCAACTCACAGGGCTGCTCATCATCCTTGATATCACAATTCAAGCCCTAGGGAGGTGCTCCTTCATGTCTCTTGTCTGTTGTCTTGAAATGAAAGACAACTGTGTTCACAGGCTCTAAAAGTTCATGAGTTGTGTCACAGCTGACATTGAAGACAGACACTGCTTCAGAGTATAGAGAGGTTTTGATCAGGGAAGCACTTAAATAACAGAAAAAGACAAATTAATTAACTCATCAAGTACTTTGTCTGAGGTAGCATAGAGGTAATAGTTTCCTGAATGATCCATCTCTTGTTCCCCTCCTGCTCTAATTTGTGTTCCTGGGGTGTTTATGAATTAGCATGGGGCTCACTGTAGTTGCACATGAAAACTGAAGAACTTTTGCAATCACTAACAATTGAGATTCTTCTTAAATTTGGATATATTGCACAAATCTTTACAAATATATTTGAAGTATGATGAAGTATGATGTCAGTTTTTTACATTAACCACTAGAAAGATAAGTGTTAGAAATATGTTTTTTTATAAAATTACTTTAAAATAGTGAATTAAATTTCAAAAAAGTAAATAAAGCATTTTAGTTTATTTGAATAGTTTGGTTACAAATTGAAGTATTTTAAATTTTAATTTATATCTGGTGTTTTAATTTTAATAAATATTTTAGAATAAAATAATTTTGAAAATACACAGAATGTTTTCATTTTTGTTCACTTTTAAATTTTATAGTTTTAATAAAAATTATTTTCAAATTTCATAAATGTTGAATTCATTTACTTTTTATATAACTGAGACTATGTACAAGTCAAGACTGTAATAGAAATAAAAAATAGACAAGCTCAGAAAAGGAAAAAAGCAGACAATGAAAAAGAAATAGCAAATCTTCAAAGAGGTGGTTTACTTAAATTTTTAAAAGTATAAAAGAGTGAAAGCAAGTGGACTTCTATCATATATGACCCAAGAATTCACGTAAAAGATATTACACATTCTTTGTTTAACGAATATTAAATATTGCTCAAAACAAGGAAGATGAGCAAGGAAATGATTCCTGTCAATTCTACTATGAACAGTTCAGATAAATATCTGCATCTTCTTATGCTCTACTAAGTAAAGACATAAATGCTTATAAATACAATGAGAATGGAAAAGAAATATTCATATCAAGTTTACAATTCAGAAGCAACAATAGCATCATCATTCTGTTTGTTAACAGCTAAAGAAGATTGGATTCACAAAATCATTTGTGATGGTTAATACTAAGTGTCAACTTTATTGTACTGAAGGATGCAAAGTATTGTTTCTGGGTGTGTCTGTGAGGGTGTTGCTAAAGGAGATTAACATTTGAGCCAGTGGACCGGGAAAGGCAGACCTTCCCTCAGTCTGGGTGGGCACCATCTAATCAGCTGCCAGTGCAACCAGAATAAAAGCAAGCAGAAGAATGCAGAAAGATTAGACTGGTGTAGGCTTCTGGCCTACTTCTCTCTCCCATGCTGGATGCTTCCGGACCTCGAACATCAGATTCCTAGTTCTTCAGCTTTGGGACTCAGACTTGCTTCCTTGATCCTCAGCTGGCAGATGGCCTATTGTGGGACCTCCTCTTGTGATTGTGTGAGTCAATACTCCTTAATAAACTCCCCTTTATACATACATCTATCCTATTAGTTCTGTCCCTCCAGAGAACCCTGACTAATACAATTATCAAATTGAATAAGAAGTATGAGACAAACTGGAGTTAAATTACACCTCTTCAATGATGGTTCTAGAACACAGCCACCAGTAGTTCTGAAAGTGCAGGAATGTTTCCTGGTACAAACAAAATCTGATTCAAATTTGTAAGTACAACTCCTATTAGTTAGACATGATATAACAGTTAAGTAATTTTAAAGCAAAATTATTTCTAATGGATAAAGAAACTTTTAGAAGTTAGCTTTTATGTTCTAATTTCAAAGACAAAACACATAGGTATTACCATTGTATGTACCAATCTTCAAGATCAACTTGGGCCAAAAACCATATTTGTGACTAGAAACATTTAGTTTCTCAATTAACATAATACAGAAATATCACCTGCACGTACATACACATATATCATATACAATTATTGGAACTGAAGAAAAAATGCTCTATAAGTAGCAAATGACTAACAGTATTTAGCAAAGACAGGTAAAACTTTGTCGGATACAAAACATTGACGTGGTTCTTAAAATACTAGTACATGTCTAATATTTAGCTAAGCATAAGGATGCTTCCCACAAAATAGACAACAATGGAAATAATGTAAAATTGTTGGCTTAAAAAAGAAATATTTTAGAAATATGATGCAAGAATGACCAACATATGACAGATAAAAAGTATAAAATAATTACCTAGAAGAGTAAAATCAAAATTAGAATAATAATGTAATGGATATTAAAGTGAGATAAGAAGTCATACAAAACTTTTAAAAATAAAAAGTAAATATTACTTGCAGAGATTTTATTATCATGAAGAAAAGTCATGTTGAACACCTAGTATTCATTGTAGTTGTATATTATCTACTGAAAGAATGAAACAGAATAGTACAAATTAATGATTATTTCTCTAGGTTTAAGCCTGTTCATTTAAAGAAGTATAGGTTTTGACTTAAGTGAAAATCTAGAAAGATGCCTTTTAATTTTTGAGATTGATTTAAAATATTGACTAATGCATGCCTTTGATAAGGGGAAGAAAACATGGTTAGTAAAGAAAAAGACATGTAAGCTAGATTTTGACTGAAAATTTAAAACCATTCTTTGTGTTTATGTGTGGCACATAGATTGCATTGGTTACTAGGAAACATGGCATTAACTGTGAATAGTTTCTGAAGCAATTCAAAGAGTAAATATGGCATTTTCTAGATCTTCTCTAAAGTGGAATATGGTGATGAGACACATATCAAAATTTAGCCTTACTAAAACTCCTGAACAATTGGGAAAGAGAACTAAAGTCCGTCAAAGCAACAAGAATTAGATCAGGCAGGATATGAAATGCACTAAAGGTATTAGGTGAAACAACAGAAATCTTCTTAAAGAGTAGAGCAGGACCTTTGGTGAAAAAGTGAAATCATTTTGGAATTAGAACTTCCACACGTTTTGATGATTATGAATAATGCTAACAAAAGCTTTACAAAGAATGCTAAATAGATCTACGTTTGGCGGTATCACTTTTTAAGACAGTTTTATTTTTTTTTAATAAAAACTGTTTTTACAAACCAAAAGAAACTCTGAAATAGACGACATAAGTGATATCTCAATAAAACATAAGAACATTTTAACAAGAAAGTAAAAATACTTGCATAACTTTGAAGGAGAAGATTCAAATAAAACAATACAAATTTCTATAGAAATGATTTTCTTGTCGTAGATCAATGTGAAATCTCCATTGAAGATTTGAAAAACATTAAATAATGTATGCAGTTTTCCATTTTCCTTATAATATACCAGCACTGATGAATTCTAAAGAAAATGCTAGAAATACTGTATGGATCTAGATCAAAGGTCAGTAAACTATGGCTCTCGGGCTAAAGACAACTTGCTGCCTCATTTCGTAAACAAAATTTTAGTGCAATACAACTATGGCCAAACATATAGGTATTGTCCATGATTGCTTTTATACTTCAATGGCAGAGTTGTATAGTTGCCACAGAAACCAAATGTCCTGCAAAGCTATTTACTATTTGGGCTTTTACAGAAAAAGTGCCCTTAAGTGCTTAGATAGTGCTTTAAGATACAGTAAAAAATGCTGTATAAACAACAATTAACATAATAAAAGAAAGTTTGTGTCAATAGAACACAGAGTCTGAAAAAAATCTGGACCATAAAAATATAATTAGGGAATTTGGTAAATGAAAATATAAAAAATTGGCTAGAATAAGTGTATAAAAATCTATGTCATTATGTTTTAATCATGATGTCATGGGATTCTTGGGGTGTCGTTTTTCCAGCTGGAAGCCTCTGTGGCCGGTGGCACTTTGGACTGAGTTTTGCTCATGCCTGCTGGGCTCATTCTGTCCACCAGGCCTGGCAGGCTGCCCTTGGCTCATGCTACCAGCCTGGATCCCACGCTGAAGTGGCTACATTGTCTGGGTTATATACCCTGGAGTTCATCGTCATGCACCAGGAATATTTAGGACGCAGACACACATGAGGAGTTTCGGAGCAGAGGCTTAATAGGCAGAAGAGAAGAGAAAGAGAAACAGCTCTTTACATAGAGAAGGGGGTCTCTGAGTGGAAAGGACCGGCTGGTGGCAAATGCCCTGGACTTTATAGCCCAGTTTGAGGAGGTGGTGTCTGATTTACATAGGGCTCACAGATTGGTTCAATCGTGTTACACAGTATGCGAGGAAAGCTGGTCGCCCCACCCTAATCTTATTATGGAATTTTCCAAGTTGATTGATGCCATCCTGTCTGTTCCTTACTGCACATGTGGCTGACAAAGAGAAGGGAAGATGGAGCTGCCATCTTGAACATGATTGGCACAACTGCCATTATCTATGTCTGCAGCTCAATTTTACAGGATGCTCTTTGTTAGAAAGGAAAATAATCTGGAGCTGCTTTTCATTAAAAAGAAAAGCCATACTGAAAACTCCCATAGCCTTGCTATCTGCCTAAGTCATTTCTTTTTAACTCCTATATCGATGCCTGCCAAGGGTAAGCCAGGCACAGAGCAGTGAGGGGTGCATGAACAAGAGAGCACATGGTCTGGCCTCTGTGCACAGCCAGCCATGCCAGCTGCTGTGGCAGGCAGGCAGCTCCAGGTGCCAGCACAGGTGCTGGCTCCATGTAAACCCGTGGCTGGATCAGATGCACTGTAAGTGGCTTCCACTGTGGGCACCTGCCTCTGGACAAGGGGAATGCAGTGGCATCCAGAAGCTTGGAGACACTAGAAACCACAGAGCCTCAAGGAGGGTGTCATAGCCCTGGCTCAGGGAGCCCCTAAGTCTGGGCCTAAGCCCCTAAGTCTGGGCCCCGGAAGGACCGCAGCTCTTCTCTCCTTCTTGTTACCCGCAACACGACAAGTGGAGGATGCATGTTTCAACCCTGTTTGTGTGACAGCTCTTTCAGTCCCACCATTTAGTGAGTCCTGAGTTCTTGTCCCACATCCAGGAAGAATGAGGTATGCAGACAAGTGGAGGGTGAGCAAGGCAAGGAGGTGCTTTATTGAGTGACAGTACAGCTCTCAGGAGACTGCAAGTGGGTAGCTCCTAACCGCAGGCAGGTCATCCCATTGAGTTTGCAGCCCTCAGCAGAGAAGAGACCTGGAGTGGATAGCTCCTATCCACAGGCAGGTTGTTCCAACATCTCCATGAGTCTGGCTAAGTCTGGGGTTTTTATGGGCTTCAGAAGGGAGGAAGTGCATGCTGATTAGTCCATGGTCGGCCATAGGTGGGTCCAGAAAAAGCACCATAAGTTCTCACTCCAGGCCATGGACTCCACCAGGAACTGACAGCCCAGCCCCCATGTTTCAGGCCATCCCTGGCTGGAACGTGCGGTTTCACTGGGGACCAGCCCCTTTCTGCCCAGGAGCCTATCTGCCTCCTGCCACCATCTATGTGTCATCCATGGTGCCCAGACTGTTTGTGCCAAGGGGTGCCTTCAGGCCCACAATGAGCCAATGAGCCACCCTCAGCACCCCCTTGGCCTCCCTTCTATGCTTGTTGGCACCCAAAGTCCAGATTGGGCCGAGGTGGCAGGGGGCTGGCATGTCAGCACCACCCTGAGTGCGCATACATCCGGCTGGGTTGTGACAGCACCGGGCCTCCGCCACAACTTTGTTCTGAAATCGGAGCAGGTGCTGGGAACAGGGAGAGGCCAGGCAGCAGGAGCTGGCACTTCCAAACCTGTGGGAGTCAAGGGGGCTTCCTGGGTCCCCGAAGCGCAAGGATGCCCAGGTCCACAGCCACAGCTGGGTAGCTGCAGCTGCGCCCAGGAGGACGGGGCTCCTGCCCTGCCAACCAGGAAGGGGGGGTGGGGCTCTCCACTGTTCTTGGCTCCCGCCAGCTCTGTGGAGCACGCAGCCCCTGCAATCCCTTCCCCGCTGCAGCCTGCCTCTTCACAGTAGCTTCTCCAGATGGGCTGCTGTTGCTATCAGTTATTATTGTTGTTGTTTATTAAAATTAACTTATGTTAAATATATGGTATCTATTTTGTTACTAATTTGTATTTGCTTTATTTTAATTATTTTATTTTATAATAATTTTATGTAATACATATATAATGTAAAGAATTTTATGTAATCAATATATAATAACTTTATGTATTAAATATATAATGATTATGTCTTTATTACTCGTCTCAACATTGTTGACTCTTCAACAAAACCACAAGAAATGTATCATTAATAAAATTGAGTCATCTTTGTTATTTTGTCGACTTTTAGAAATATAACCATAGTTTTGCACATATTTTTCTGTTTTAAAATTTTAATTTTTAATTTCAATTTTTAATTTTATTTTTTATTATACTTTAAGTTCTAGGATACATGTGCACAGCATGTAGGTTTGTTACATATGTATACACGTGCCATGTTGGTTTGCTGCCCTGGTTAACTCGTCATTTACATTAGGTATATCTCCTAATGCTATCCCTCCTCCTTCCCCCAACCCCACGACAGGCTCCAGTGTGTGACGTTCCCCACCCTGTGTCCAGGTGTTCTCATTGTTCAATTCCCACCTATGAGTGAGAACATGCGGTGTTTGGTTTTCTGTCCTTGCGGTGGTTTGCTCAAAATGATGATTTCCAGCTTCATCCATGTCCCTACAAAGGACAGGAACTCATCCTTTTTTATGGCTGCGTAGTATTCCATGGTGTATATGTGCCACATTTTCTTAATCCAGTCTATCATTGATGGACATTTGGGTTGGTTCCAAGTCTTTGTTATTGTGAATAGTGCCACAATAAACATACGTGTGCATATGTCTTTATAGCAGCATGCTTTAGAATCCGTTGGGTATATACCCAGTAATGGGATGGCTGGGTCAAATGGTATTTCCGGTTCTAGATCCTTGAGGAATCGCCACACTGTCTTCCACAATGGTTGAACTAGTTTGCAGTCCCACCAACAGTGTAAAAGTGTTCCTATTTCTCCACATCCTCTCCAGCACCTGTTGTTTCCTGACTTTTTAATGATCAGCATTCTAACTGGTGTGAGATGGTCTCTCATTGTGGTTTTGATTTGCATTTCTCTGATGGCTAGTGATGATGAGCGTTTTTTCATGTGTCTTTTGGCTGCATAAATGTCTTCTTTTGAGAAGTATCTGTTCATATCCTTTTCCCATTTTTGATGGGGTTGTTTGATTTTTTCTTGTCAATTTGTTTAAGTTCTTTGTAGATTCTGGATAGTAGCCCTTTGTCAGATGGGTAGGTTGTAAAAATTTTCTCCCATTCTATAGGTTACCTGTTCACTCTGATGGTAGTTTCTTTTGCTGTGCAGAAGCTCTTTAGTTTAATTAGATCCCATTTGTCAATTGTGGCTTTTGTTGCCATTGCTTTTGGTGTTTTAGTCATGAAGTCCTTGCCCATGCCTATGTCCGGAATGGTATTGCCTAGGTTTTCTTCTAGGGTTTTTATATTTTGCTACTGTAACGATATAGTTGTCATAGCAGAGAATAGACTATTTAACAGTTTTATTAGCTTGGTTTATGACTTTTAAACATTTAACCAGTTAATATACAGCCTCTATTTGTACTTTTAACCCAGAGCCTTCAAATATTAGAGCTGGGCTTATCCCCCCTGTCTCCCAGATCTCCTCCCCAAAGTTCACTTCTGCCACTGTTTTCTGGGTCATCCTTGCAAACATAGGTATACATAAACAAGTATGTGAAGTGTTTACTCTTCTAGGCTGCCATCAGTATCATCTAGAGAGAATCATAGTACCTGTCTCACCTTCTTCCCTGCTGAGGATGTCAGAACCTCAGATAATAATGCCAGTGGAAGCTGCAAATGCTACTGATATAGGTTCCTAAATTGCATTCAAATGTAGCCTACTAAGTAAATTAAATTCTCTTCCGGCCTCCATAGTATTTATCTATATCTTCATTTTTGTCAGAATTGTTTCTGTGTCTTTTCTTTTTATAAATCATATAGTTTTAAGGGGTGATGGGTATTTCTTTTGAGCAGGATAATGGGTGTGTGTGTGTGCATGAATCTGTATGTAGAAGCTGTGAGAGGAATGAGTTGGTTTGCACAACTATTGAAGAGTTGTGAGACTTGAGAAACAGTGAGAGTAAACAGATCAGAGAAAACAACCACCAGAGGGCCTTATGCCTGGAGAAATGGCAGAGAAAACCTTACTGGCCTTACCTTCAGTGTGCCCCCACCCCATGGGAAAGAGGAGGTTAGGATTGCATCATACCTGGTGGAAGTTTTTGTATCTTTAAGAGTAAGTCCGCAATGTTGCCAGTGTCTGTCTGCAGATTGGCTACCCAACTGTTGCATCAGTACCCCATTCTATCATCAACGGGTACAAACGAGTCCTGGCCTTGTCTGTGGAGACGGATTACACCTTCCCACTCGCTGAAAAGGTCAAGGCCTTCTTGGCTGATCCATCTGCCTTTGTGGCTGCTGCCCCTGTGGCTGCTGCCACCACAGCTGCTCCTGCTGCTGCTGCAGCCCCAGCTAAGGTTGAAGCCAAGGAAGAGTCGGAGGAGTCGGACGAGGATATGGGATTTGGTCTCTTTGACTAATCACCAAAAAGCAACCAACTTAGCCAGCTTTATTTGCAAAACAAGGAAATAAAGGCTTACTTCTTTAAAAAAAAAAAAAAAAGAGTAAGTTATGAGGTGTAAATCCCTCTCCATTACTACCACCTCATCTTAAGTGAAAACTGTAGACTTCACTTACACTTTTGGTGTCAGAGGCTCTTTTGGCCAAATAGCAAGGGAGTTATAGCAGTGCATAGAATCTGAAACAGGTTAAAATTGTACATGGCACGAGGGGACAGCTGACATCTGGATTACATATTTTATATGTCTTTTTAAATTCCCAAATCTGTGAGATTCAGACCACAAGGGAATATGTCTGATTCATCCCTATATCTTCAGTTCTAGAAATGTACTTGGGATGTAATTATACAACCATTAATTATCTGGAAGTCTTGTTGGATGAACGTGCTTCACACCAGAAGATGTGACTAGTGAAGCTGACTTTAAATACATACTAAAGATACAATGAAGAAATCTGTAGATTAGGTTGGATGGTACTCAAGCTCTATCTCTCCTTTGTTAAAATAAAGAACAAAGTATCAGCTATTCTCTAGTTTAGTGCAATGCTGATGTTAAAATCTCCATCGTGATAAGCAGGTGTCCCTAACATCTAATTCCCAGGAAGTGACTTACATACTGAAAATATGCTTGCTCATGTTACAACTCCTGTTTGTTTTCTTTTTTTGCAATATACTAATAAGTGTCACTTTGGAAAAATCACACACAATTTATTTTAGTCTTTGCAATGAATTGAAACTGAGGCATTATGGAGTGCTTGCAAGGATTCCTCATTTTTGAATTTGATGCTCTCAGCGTTTAAATGACACCTCTTGAAAGGATTCATACCTTTTTTGAAAAAAAGGCCAATTTCAGATCTGTAAAGAGAATATGGAAAAATTAATGCCTCTGAAAGAAATCTTGAGACACAAGATTGGTCTATAGAAACAGATCATGTAGTACAATCTTATTTCTATTCCACTAACCTCTTGTCTGTATCTCAGATTGTTTTTGATAGAACACTCTACTGATGTAAATGCAAACATCCAAGAGAAAATACACTATTTTTACGATCAGAAGAAACAGATTTCCCATAAAAAATGGGGTTCACTGAATTTCTAGGCACACAGAATTTTTTATTATACATGAATTTTTAATGAATCAACATTCAGAAAAGGGGTTCCATGGGGCTGAAGGGAATATAATGTGTCAGATTATATGGAATGAGTGAGGGATAATGATGGTAATAATCATAGCTGAAATTTAACCTGGGTTTTTCTTCTAAAGAGCTCAAGGCATTTCACATATATGGAGAATTATTTTTCACCCTGTAGGAAGAGTATTTTCAGGAGGATGCTGACCCATCAGGAGGCCATAGAGAAATAGTTTCATTATCCCTTGGTGCCAGGCTGTGTAAGAAGAATATTTTTCCTTCCAGGGCCTGAGATGAAGTGAAACATACATAGTCATTTTGATCATATAGCCGTAGAGTCCCTGGAGTCCCATTTCAGGGTCTGCAAGGGATTTAAGTAAAAACACCAAGAGTATATAAATATGAAAATTCTGCTAAGACATTTTCTCCTTCTTACAGAATTCTGAAGGTTCACTTCCCTTAGCCCTAATAATCTGTCCTCCTAATGGGCTTTTTTGAGGTGATACTGAACTAAGAACATACATTCTAGCCATTTTCCAAGACTAGCCTCAATCTGGGCTATAGAAAGAGGGCAGGCTTAGAGCCAAAGAATCATAGTATTTAAAGTGGACAGTAGAATATGTTTTAAACAATCAGTTCCTGAGGTGAGAAAACAGATTAATCAAAGGGAAAGTGTTTGTTTAAAATCATTCAAATCTTCAGTGTATGGATGAGAATGAATGCCGGTGTTCTTCCTCCTCCTTTGAACAGTTAGAGAGGGCAGGACTTTGAAGGAAAATCACTAACTCTATTAGCTTATATGGCATTTGAGCCAAACAACCCATAAGGCATGTATTAAAGTCCTTTCTATTTTATAGAGTAAAGTGTGAAAGGATTATGAGATTTGTCCTCACTTCTCCAGCTCCTTCCATGTTATACTTGCCATGTGCTTATGGACACACTATTCCAGAAGGGCTGCCCCTCTTCTTCCCTAGAGGGAGAAGTCATTCATTATATCAATTTATTTGCTATTGTCAGTTTGAACTCCAAATGAGTAAATGAAGTACTTTTCTTTAATAAAGAGGTAATTTGCACAAATTTAGTATGAGGATCTTCTCTAGAATATCCCTAACATCTCTTTCCCTTACGTCTAAATGGACACCTCCAAAGATGAGCATTCTTTTCATTAAAAGGACGTGATAGTAATCACCAGAGCATTCTTAATGTTAATGTTTAAACATTCCTCATTATAATGAGCTGCTACTGCTTGACTTCCTCTCACATGTAACCACTGGCCCCAGTTTTGACCTCTAGGGTAATACAGATTAAAAAAATTATTGCTTGAAAAGTCATTTTTGTATCTGAGGACAGCAACCTCATCATTCTTCTAATTTATCTATTGTCCAAGACCACGTATTTCAAAAGAAAAAAAAAATCAGGTGCCCCCACCCCATGTTTAATTTTGAATTAAACTTAGGAAAAAATAACCAAGTCTCCCATGTATATCAAAGGCCTTTAAGAGAAGTGGTAGGTAGCCTCAGTGTCTTTTAGCATGAGGCATGGAGAACCCATCAAATATCCAGTCACTGCCATCTGTTGCCATGAACACATTTGCCTTATGAATTATTTCTTGTGTAGTATTTGTAAACTCAGAAGATTGGATCAGATAGTTATTATGTCTCCCAATTCTACATGTCATGCCTTCCCCCTTTATTTAGGAAAAGAAGTGCCAGGTTTACTGCCTCCTTGGAATTCTATTTTGTTCATATTAATAGGTAGTAGCTTTAATCCATGCATACCAAGTAAATTTTAAAGCATCTTGAAGATAAATACCTTGAACAAGCTATAATAGGATCTTAAAGTACCGACGAATCCAAAAATGAACAACAAGAAATACTCTGCCTATAGACATTTCCTGAAATTTTAAACAAATCTGAATCAAATAGAATAAACAGATTTTTGGACCTGTGAAGGCTCCAAAGACAGCATATTTTGTTAGTCCAAGACAGCATACTTCATTACGTTAACAAAAGCAGTCTATATGGTTTGTTTGCTTTGGGGGATGTACAAATTAATTTTCTAATATTATTATTATTATGTTGAGATGGAGTCTTGCTCTGTCACCCAGGCCGGAGTGTAGTGGCACGATCTCCACTCACTGCAACCTCCATCTTCTGGGCTTAAGCAATTCTCCTGGCTCAGCCTCCCCAGTAGCTGGGATTACAGGTGCCCACCACCATGCCCAGCTAATTTTTGTATTTTTGTAGAGACAGGGTTTAACCATGTTGGCTAGGCTGGTTTCAAACTCCTGACCTCAAGTGATCCACCCACCTCAACCTCCCAAAGTGCTAGGATTACAGGCTTGAGTGACCGTGCCTGACCTCTAATATTATCTTATATAAGGTTAATGGTTCAATGTTGTCTGTACGAGTATCATACTTAAAGTGAGGCTAGGTCTGAATTGCAGCTCTCCTTAGGGGAAATGTTGATTAAATACAAGGGTCATGGACTTATTTAAATTTAGTAAAATTTAATGAAATAAATAAAAATTAAAATACTTTAAAGTAGCCAATTTTAGTTGTAAATCTAGGTACAGAACTCGAGTCTTCTAATGCTAATTAAGCTTTTTCTGTTATAGTAACAGGCAGCTGCCTGGAATCTACATATAATTAGTCATGAGATCAGTTGTATTATTTGAGATAAAATGTTGGCATTTTGAAACTTACCTCTCCTCTGGACTAATCAGATGAAGTTACAGCTATGAATATTTTCTATTCAGGAATACAATCTGAAGGACAAAATAGCTCTTTTGTTCCTTCTGAAGAAACACTAAATAACAAGGTTAAGGGAGAATAAAGTCTTACTCTGGTCTCCAACTGTATGCTACACTATTTCTTGCTAAAACTCATTTCTTGATTTTGGTGTTTACGTGTGTGCGTGTATGTGTGTGTGTGTGTGTGTGTGGATCTGTTTCTCTCTCACTCTCTGCTACTTTTCTACAGCACAACTAATAATCTCTTGAACACTACACAGATGTTTTCCCCATTCTGTGGCATACTTATTTTTCAAGTGGCTTCTGAGAGCAGATGTTCCCATGTGTCTTTGTAACTTCTTTTCAGTTGATGCTTTTGCAACATTAAAAAAAAAAAAAGTGTAGAGGTAAAGAGGAAGAATACTAAGAAGACCAATTACATAGCTGATGTTCTATTAGAACAGAAGGAAAATAAAGAGCAGTACATGTTTAACTTTTTTACTATGGGTTTGTGAAAGAACTTCCACTCAATTCAGTTGAATTGAACAAATATTTATTAAAAACCTATGTATAAGGCTCTTGGCTAGGTTCTGAGGGAGTACGAAGTAGACAGATGTCACATAGGTTGGAGGAAGGATATTTGCAAAACAAGAACGCTTTCACAAGGCATATATGCGAGTTTGTATCTCAAGCAGAAGGCAAGAATAGAGTACTAAAGTTTAGAACATATGCAAAGAAAAGCAAAATTATCAGCAAAGTCTGGAGATTGCCTCGTGGTGCAATAATTGGGAATTTAGATTCAGAAGATAGCTTAGGGCTAGAGTATAAAGAACCATGAATGACAGACTGAGGAGTTCATGATTAATTGGATTTGTACTAGTGAAAGTTTTGAAAACAAGAGTAAGACAATCAGAGCCATGTATTTTGGAAGATTATTGCAGCAGTCATGGGTAGGAGGAATTGAGGAAAACAAAGACAATAGACCTAGGGAACCACAGCTACCCATTCTACTGTGACAAAATAATAAGGTAGGATGTAATCTGTAAAAATAATAGGGTTGTAGAATCAAAGAGATTGAGGTTAGAGAAATCATTGCAGAGTGCTCCTTTCATTTCTTTCCCTTCCTAAAGATGTGAGTTAGAAGAACAGGGGGAACAGTGCTTCCAGTAATAAAAATTGGGATGTCTAAAGAAATTATTAATGTAGGGGTAGGGAGAATGAGCTTGGTTAGCAGGTAACATATTCAGTTGTTGATGTTCAATAGGCAAAGCCTATTTGGTGTCAAGAAGATGGTTTTGTGCTGGAGATAAATATATTATAAAGTTCACTGTATAGAATTGAAAGGTTATCAAGAAAAAAGCTGAAAAAGACTGTGGAAGAAAACTAACAACAAGACCTTGGCAATTAGTGTGGTCCTGATAAAAAGCCAGAGGGAGAATATGAGCCTGCTAAAATGGCTGATACTGCAAGTGCAAAGGGTAGTAAGGAAAGCTTTAAACAAAGTTGAGGCTGGGCACAGTGGCTCACGCCTGCAATCCCAGCACTTTGGGAGGCCGAGGCAGGCAGATCACCTGAGGTCAGGAGTTCAAGACCAGCCTGGCCAACATGGTGAAACCCCATCTCTAATACAAATACAAAAAATTAGCCAAGCGTGGTGGCATGTGACTGTAATTCCAGCTACTTGGGAGGCTGAGGCAGGAGAATCTCTTGAACCCAGGAAGCAGAAGTTGGAGTGAGCCAAGATCGCACCACTGCACTCTAGCCTGGGCAACAGAGCAAGTCAAAAAAAAAAAAAAAAAAAAAAAAGCCCACACACACAAAGTTGAAAAATAGTTCCATCTACAGGGAAAAATCTACCTAAATCCATCCAGCTGGAAGCTTAGGGAATAAGGAAAGACTAAGGGATTTGGCTATTATAAGGTTTTGCTAAGGATAATTCACATTCTTCTGTTAATGTAATAATTAATTTGTTAACATGAGAAGTTAAAGTAAGTTGAGGAGAATTCATATTCTCCTATTGGATTCATTTCTGATTTCTCACCAGTCATGGCAGTGGGAGACTGAGAGCCTGCCATCTTGATGGAGAGACCTTGACTCCTAAGCTTGGTGCCAGAAATTGCATAATTTCCCATTTTCCACCCTTCAAAATGCCTTCATTGCAAATATCAACCAAACTTTCTTCTATATGGATCTATTTTCCATTCATCTATGGCAGGAAATGACCTATTTCCTACTGTCCTGATTTTGCCTTATTTTAATAATAACATAACATGGCAGGGATACCATCTCTCAGAATCCGTAGATTGGCTTTCTGGGGTTATCTTACAGTCATGCCAGTGGGAGACTGAGAGTCTGCCATCTTGATGAGAGGGAACTTGACTCCTAAGCTTGACTGGAATTGGGCTTGCAATTCTCTTCTGGGCTTGTTGCTTCAGAACTTTGGAAAGCATAACTTTGACTCTCAGAAGGTGAATTGCTCTATGATCTCAGATTTAGTTGGGTGTAATTGTTGAAGGTCATCATAATATATTCCAATAGTATAATGGAGAAGAATATGATAAACTTCATTGCTGTACATTTTCTAATTCTTAGAAATTCATTCTTTATTTCAACCTGAGATTCCTTCTGAATAACTTCAAGTTTGGTCCTTCTCCTCTGAAGGGAGAACATGAAGCCTCAAGCAAGTTATTTAATGCAGACTGTTGCTTGTCTTTCTTCTAAGATTTATATAAATATATGTGAAAATGAATGTGGAAGTGTTTCATGAAACTAGTTGTTTAATTGTTGGTGTTATTAATTAAAAGTAGAAAATAGGCAATTAGAATAAACAAACATGGATGTAATAGCTGACGGTAAAAAAGACAAAAGATGTATTAATTATAAAAACATAAAAGCAAAGGTTTGAGGTACCATATAATGAAGGGACAATACACAGTGGTCCGCATTAAAATTAATCACTACCTGGGTACTTCAATCGGGCATGAATTGATTAATTAGTATTTATAATACCAGAGTAATACTACACTAATTGTAATACAAGTGTAACGTTTGTAATATTGACCCAAATTCATCAGTAAAATATCCCATTATATTCAGTCTATTCTCTACAAAAGCATGGAAGAATGGAATACATTCAGAAAACTTTTCAGCCAAAGAACTTGAAAATCATTTAAAAGAGTCTTGTGCTGCACATTTCAGCCTCTGTTATTTGTAACATGTTTTTTGCAGGGCTTTGATGTTTCAAGCAATGCTGGGTCAACCCAACCACTCAGCACATTCACTGGACCTGGTCGTGCCCAAGCTCCTCCACTGCATGATTCAGAGTTGAGATAGACACAGCCCTCTTCAACAGAGAGCCTTTCTTCCAACACTCTTGATTTTTCTTTATATGGCCTTTTCATCTTTGCACTTTATGGCCATGATCCCTGAAAACTCCCACCTCTCAAATATTTGAGGAATAAGGAAAGATTAAGCAATTTGGCTATTATAAGATTTTGCTAACTCATACTAGGTTAACTTTTGGTTGGCATTAGAAATGGAACGACAATGTAGATTTCAATTGTCTAATATTTTATACAGAAGTTTTGTAACTGTTTTACATAAAAAGACTGTAATTTAGCTTAGTTTAGAGTTCAAAGTACTGAAAATATAAAAGATGGGGAGAATTCACATTCTTCTATTGGATGAATTTCTGACTTCTCACCAGTTATGCCAGCGGGAGGCTGAGAGCCTGCCATTCCATTTCTGGAAGAATGGAATACATTCAGAAAACTTTTCAGGTTATAGAACATTACAGAACAGAGAACTTCAAAAAATAAAATAAAATAAAAATCACACTTTACCCTTCTTATGAAAGGATGGATAGTATTGCAGCAAACAGCTTCATAATTCTAGCTTAATTCTATATATTTTAAGTGGTTGAAAATTAGCAGAACATACCTGTAGTTCTCCTTCATTGACCAAATGAGTACATAAAAGTGATGACTTCAGGAAAAATGGAAATCTTTTCAGTGGAAGAAGAAATATGTGATATAAAAAAACAAATGCTTATTTGCTCCTATAATAGTGCCTACTACAAAGCTATATGCCAGTGGGTGCTTGAGAAATAATATGGAGTTATCTTTTAACATGTTGCAGCTCAACATTGTTCTCAAATGAGCAATTTGAATGTCTTCCTTGTGTACCGTGGAAAAGTTTAGCCAAGAGTTGTTTCTAAGCAAGAAGTTGTATCAAGACAATTATGGTTTTTTTTTTTTGTTTTTTGTTTTTTTTTTTGAGGTGGAGGCTTTCTCTGTTGCCCAGGCTGGGGTGCAATGGCATGATCTTGGCTCACTGCAACCTCCGCCTGCCGGGTTCAAGTGATTCTCCTGCCTCAGCCTCCCGAGTAGCTGGGATTACAGGCACCCACCACTACACCCAGCTAATTTTTGTATTTTTATTGGAGACGGGGTTTCACCATATTGACCAGGCTGGTCTCGATGGTCTCAAACTCCTGACCTCAGGTGATCCACCTGCCTTGGCCTCCCACAGTGCTGGGATTACAGGAATGAGCCACCGTGCCTGGCCAATTATGTCTTGTTTTTAACTATTGTCCTCCTTAATGGGGAGACATGGTACACTTAAAGACACAATATTAAGCTTGTAAGTCATCTAGAAGGCAACTTCATTCTTTCCAAGGAAATTGGCAAAAACTGTTTTATGCCCAAGATGAGAGGTTTCTATATGAAAGACAGTCTTTCTATGGTTAGAAAAAATTGAACCAAAGGCTACGATGGAGTAAAATAATGAAGTGGGGCCAGCACATTCAGCTAATTATTTAATTACTTCTAGCTACAAAGAGCAATGCATAACCTATACAAAGAGTATAGAGTATGTCAGCCACAGTAAATTCCCTCTGTAATTAAAGAAGGACATATCCTTCAAAATTGAGGAAAATTGAGATCCAAGTGTTCAACTTTTGACTTTTCTTTTTTGATTTAGATCACACATTTATAATAGTCCTTCCTCCATTACTATTTCTTCATTGAGCAAGGTTCGGATATTTGGACACCTGAATAGATTTCTCAGTAGAGTATTACTGTCATTGAAGTGTTAAAAAATTCCTTCTGCTCTTCATTAATTTTCAAAGCACACTTATAAAAGCATCCTGGCACAAAACCAGTAAAACACACAAACAGAAAGGAAAACCCATCACCCTTAGAAGATATAGAATGTGTTCCAAAGATGTATAGAAAGTAGTTGTTCATGATTTGTTTGTTGTATTAGTACATGATTCTGTGGTCTGTCCATTTATGCATACATCAGACATCTAGCGACATTATTCCTCCTTATTCTGCCCCTAGAGCTCTGAAAAGGCCACTTACCTAAAAGACTGTGGATGAGACAATTTACTTTCCCCTAGCAAGGCAATGATATCTACCCATCCATCTACCCATCATTCATTCAAAGCTTCCTGTGTATTAGACATGGTGTTCTCCAGTTCCCACAAAACAAAATATTTTCATCAATATTCCTAAATATGTTGAAGTCAGCATATATAATTTTCATAATAAAAGAAATGAGCAACAGTCAAAAATTAAAAATAAAAGTTTTTATAGTTGATTACCTGTTCTTTCCTCAACCCTGCTGAATGGTTCCATAGAACCAGTGGGAAGGTGAGGAATTTGGCATTTATGCTGGCTGTTTATTATTATCATTATTATTATTTTTACAATATACACCACTATTACCCCTTCCTGGACACTTACAATCTGTCTTACCCTGATCCATGCCATATAATTTAGGGTTTTTAAAAAAGTTTATGTTTATTATCAATCTTACCTATGTTAGAAGGTAAGTTCTGCAAAGAAGGAAATGTTTCCTGTTTTATTCTTTTATGTGTCTCTAGGCCCTGGAAGTGCTTGGCAAAACATGGGCACATAATAATATGTATTTAATGAACCAATCATCTCCTATTATGAACCACAAGAACCCCTACTATGTGCTTGCTTTAACTCTTGGCAGTGCTTCTTTTGAACAAGTGCAAGCCTGTACATCCTCAGTCTGTGGAGAGATCCTGGATGATTTCAGTTTGCCAAGTGGAATGAGGACAGTCATTGCTAACAGAATCTGCATATAAGGAAATAATGTCCCTGCTATGTTCCAGGTACTGTGCTAATACATGCTTTGCAAATACTATCTCATTTAGCTCACGAAAATCTCTAGGGGCACTCTCATGTTTTATAATATTTTATCATCTTACATTTTTACTGAGGAAGTCCCTTGCCCAAAACACACAGTTGGTAACTATTTAGTTCAACTATTGCTGAAACTAAACAATACGTCTTACAGCTCATACTCTGAACCCACTCTGATATATTAGTCTCATGTAATATGTTAACAACAGCTTCTCAACTCTCTGAAACAAAAGGAATGTGAAATTTAAGTCCTCACACATTTCTAAGAGCCAAGTATCCTATTTTCTTTTTCAGGAAAAGGAGAGAGAGAGAGAGAGAGAGAGAGAGAGAGAGAGAGCAAGTCACGTTCAGCCATCCCTGCTAAAGCCTTTGTAATACCCACATAAGTCCGTAATTCCTTCACTTACTGTAGCAGTTAACAACCACAAAAAATAAAACCAGCCAATGCCCTCAACGACCCTTTCGCTTTATTCACATGAAGTTTTTGCCATAAACTGCCTGTCTTTTAAAAATAATCGCTAAGGTTCAGGCAACACTGTATCCCCTTGGATTGTGTGTGTCCTGGGCCGTGGGAAGGCCGTCACTGATTACAACCACAGCATCATCTGCCGACAATGGATTTCCAGATAAGAGTGAACTTTCAAAATGAGCAAGAAAGTGGTGTCTTTACAGTCTACCTGTTTTCACTAATAGATAATTCGAGTATCAAAGAGAAACTTCTCCACTCCTTCCACTCTCAAAACAATAAAGGCCGTTTTATCTGAGAAGTAGTGCCGCGTTAAGCAAAGTAACGGAACTTAAAACCAACAGTAATATAGGAATAACTTGCTTACACGACTCACAGCTAAAAATGATTGGAATCACCTGAACAAAGACAAACGCAGTATCAAAGAAGGACAACGTGAGGTTTATTATAAGCAAGTACTAAAAAATATATGCACGTGGCAAGAAAGCCATCAGCACATAGAGAAAAGCTGATGAATTCGTATTTGCAAGGGAACTAGGATCTGGTTTAAGGAGACATTGAGCCACAGAGAGTGCTGGCTCCGACTCGGATTAGTTAGGAAGTGTGGTCTGTGACAGAAAGACGTGGGCATGGCATGATCAGAGGCAGGTTCTGGTCACGGTTTTGCCTCCAACTTCCTGCATGGCTTCAGACAAACTGCTTCATCTCTTTTCACTGTGGTCCTTATAGTTCTAAAATGAGTGAGGAATGAAGCATCCTTCCTGATTATCTTACAGAATTATCATTTCTATAAGATCACATATCTATTGACTTGGAAAGAAGTCCATTGTTAAAGTTGTTTTAAAGTAGGATGCAGCCCAAAAAAACCGTAAAACACCATCATAATCTCACATGTTACACACACAGGCCAGAATCACATGTGCAATGTGTCATCTTTATATCTCCTTTATACTTTTGCTTATTCTCTGATTTCCTTTTGCGATAAACTTTTTTCTTTTTCAATTATCTGCATTTTTGTAAGAAAGAGAAATAGAGAGAGAAACATAAATATGTAAGTCTCTTAGTCCCTTTAGGCTGCTCTAACAAAATACCATAGATGGAGTAGCTTAGAAAAAAAACTGAATTATTTGTCATTGTTGTGGAGGCTGAGAAGTCCAAAATCAAGGCACTGGCAGATTCTGCGTTTAGTGAGAGCTCACTTCCGGGTTCATAGACGGATGTCTTTTCAGCATGTGCTTACTTGGTGAACACGGACGAAATAGCTCTCTGGGGTCCCTTAAACTAATCCCATTCCTGAGGGCTCTGCCCTCATAACTCAATTACCTCCCCAAGGTACCACCTCTGCACTCTATCACATTGGGGATAAGGTTTCAACATATGAACTTTGGGGGGATATAAACATTCAGACAGTAGTAAGCAGTAAAAAATTTAAATGCCATAAAAGAATAAGATATGAAGAGATTCCAAGATTCACTTTTTTTTGATCTTCTTAGTGTGAAGTACGATGCTTCATATTAGAATTTTGAGAAAGAATAGAAGGAAGAATTTCCCACATTGTAAAGAGAGCACAGATATTAAATATGGGGCAAATATTGACTAAATGAGTACATTATATAGCTTTAAGCCCTATTGACTTGAGTGTTAATAGAATAAGGGAAAAAACCATTTGAGATTCTGTAGCTCGTGGAGTTGACTTGAGTGAACCCATGCAAGGTCACTTTGAAAAATTTCTAGGCTCACTTTCAAAGTAAAAAAGAGGAGCTGGCAATGTTGAGCATTCACTTTGCATCCCTGCTCTGACATTTGTCATTTTCAAAGATGCAAAGTAATTTGGGGGGCTGTAAATATCATCAAATAGTAGGCCATTGTTGCCTTTGGAAATAATTGTAACACAACCCTCCCTGGACTCAGGTGCACTTCTCCGAGCACTCCCCTCACGGTTGAGAACGCACAGCACCCATCCCCCCATGCTAGTCAGGGCTTAGTTTCTCTATACAATCCTTGCTCTTTCTGGGAGTAGTGATAGAAAGTCTTTGGAAGACAAGAGAATTTTCCTTCTCCATGTTTTCCTAAACCTCTCTATAAATAGTGGAATCCTGCTGTTAATACAACTTGGAGGTATATGTTTCTCACTTCTTCACAAAAAGCAAAGTAAAAGCTTGAGTTCAATATCCATCTTTATGATTTCCCCAGTTTTGCAGAAAATTTAAATAGTGGGAATCATTCTAGTTGTTAAAACTCATATTGTGAAAATACAAGTATACCTCCTCTCATTTATTTTTTTAAGATTCTAGTTCCCCTGGTGCCTTCAAAATGTTATTACATATCCTTAACTGCTTTCCAGGAAGGCAGGAAGGGAGGCCACACAGGATCCGGAGAAAAAAGACAGGAGGTCTTGCCAGTAGTTGTTCAAGCATAATTGAAGATAAATCATCTCAGAGACAATAATGTGAGTCAACAGTCAGATGGTGTTTTATTTACCAAAACAATAATTTAAAACAACCAAATCAAAATGGTTCTACAACTGGAAGAAATAGTGTGGTGAGATACAATGGTGCCTATGTCTCCTTTGATTCAAATTATCTGACCTAAAGAGACTAGCAGTCGACCCTGCAAAAAAGAAAATGATGTGGAAAGCAAAGTGATTACTGGATAATTCAGATTCCAATGGAATTGGCAGATATGTATCTAGCATTATGGAAAAGATATTGAACATGCTTACAGCAGAATTCCTCTTACAGAGCAAATTTTGTTCAAAATGATATCTTGAGAAGCCATCTGTGGTAGTAGGCAAGACTATTTCAGGTACTAGTTAATGGGAGATAAATTAATAAAGTGATAGCTAAACTGTTCCGCCTTATAAATGACCTAAGAGAGGCAAAGAGGGAAAGGGGGATGGCTAAGAAATATATCCAAAGACACGTTTAAAAGTGATGTTCCACCCCGTCTGTACTAAAAATATATAAAAAACATTAGCCGGGCGCGGTGGCGGGCGCCTCTAGTCCAAGCTACTCGGGAGGCTGAGGCAGGAGAATGGCGTGAATCCAGGAGGCGGAGCTTGCAGTGAGCCAAGATCGTACCACTGCACTCCAGCCTGGGCGACAGAGCGAGACTCCGTCTCAAAAAAAAAAAAAAAAAAAAAAAAGAAGTGATGTTCTACGTATGATTTCCAGTTCTTTTTGTTGGTTGCTACCATGTAACCTCTTTACCCATCTTATTCCCTCCATAAGGCTGCCATATAAATAATTTTGTGTAAAGGGAGTGTTGTTTTCACGGCAGCTCGGAAGATAGCTGAATTTCACACCTGGGTCAGCATCGTAAATACAGGCAACATGGGTATGGCATTGGGGTGACTCATAAACTAACTTAGAAGCAGCAGGAACTGATGCCAAAGAAATTGAAGAAAATGTTGGCGCAATAGGAATATGCAAGAATCTTGGGAAATTAGGTCTTATCAATATGTGTGGTTGTGGGGAGGTAAGACCAACCAACATCTGGGTTAAAAAAAAACAAATTATAGGTTTTTTCAAAAATGACTTTTGTCACGGAAGTTATTTATTTATTTATTTATTTATTTATTTTTGAGACAGAATCTTGCTTTGTCACCCACGCTAGAGTGCAGTGGTGAAATCTGGGTTCACTGCAACCTCCACCTCCTGTGTTCAAGCAATTTTCCTGCCTCAGCCTCCCGAGTAGCTGGGATTACAGGTGCGCGTCACCATACCCGGCTATGAAGTTATTTAGTTTTGATGTTTATGTGAAAATATGGCTATGAGGGCAAAACAGAGGGTTGCATATCTCAGGATCATGGCATCCCAGCACTTGATCTTTAAACATATCTCACCCATGTGACTCATTTTACAAGTGAGGACAAAGGCCATGCACTAGTTAATGGCAGAAACCAAAGTGTGACTTTCCTGACTCAGTCTAATGCAGAGCACTGTCCAGTCTACTGGATTGCCTCAATTTCAAATGATAATGGCTGTTTTTTTCCTTAAGAACTTATTAATCACTGTTACTACATTTTACATGTTTCAACACTTAAATATAAATTAATTTATATTACTTGGACCCTGAGAATGTATTAAATAAATATGATAAATAAGAGTGTCAGGGAAAGAAAAATGTAGAGAGACAAATTTGATCTTGAATCAAAGAGCTTGAAGAGTGGGAAAAGACTAATTCCAAAATTAAAGAAACAAGTTTTGTGTCAGATACTACTTTCTCAAGGGTGGCAAGTTGCTCCCCAAACAGAGAGCTTCATTTGAATATCTGAAGACAGTGACAGATTTTCAAGCTCTGGAGATTTTCAAGCATTTGAGATGAAAATATGAGAAATGGAAACACATAGAGGCTTTGATTCAGAACTGAAGTTAGCGGCTTGGGTTCAGGAATGTTTCTCACGACTTGACATCTCATTTCTCTAGACCAGGAGTGGTGAAGGCGTTTTTCTCAAACTCCTTCCTTTTTTGTCCTTGAGGAAAATCATGCCAGGATCTCCAGATGCAGGAAAAGTCAAATAGCAAAGAATATCCGTTAGTTGTGATGAAAAGTAACTATATTCTGTAAAGTCACTAATTACTAGATAGTAGCATGCTACATGTGATCTCTCATTTAATAATTATGTTTCCTGAAGGATATTGCTTACTTATCAAGAACACTAAGTTCACCCAAAGCCAAGAAGATGACATAATGGTATAATAGGCTGTATGTCAGAATTGAACTCACTAGCCAGTTTCTCCATTTTTCCACACATCTCTTTCTTCAAAGATTCTGAACAGCACCAAGAGAAAATAGGCATTTGGCAGAACAAGTGTTTTTGGCCTTGATTCCCTCTCATGTCCTCTGAATTGGGACATGAGAAGATTATAGGTCACTATGACAAGGCAAAATACACTGGAACTGGATTTGGGTGGTCTCCCGTGGTATTGTTATGACTTTAGCAACTCAGTGGTAGAAATGGTCAGAAACTGGGGGAACTCAAAGTTGTAAAATCAAGTTGGTACTAAGCCACTAGGAACACTCAGAACAGTGTAAAGCAGGGAGTGGAAACACTGTTCTTGGGCTCTCATCCTGTGTATCCTCCAAATCAAGAGTTTATAATATATTTTAGTACATTCCGCGAAGGCTCCCAGCTTTGATCTTTGGCTTCCTCTTCTCTCTGTAGCTTGTGTACAAAGCAAGCACAGAAAGTGGAATTTGGCACCATGTGTTGCTAGTCTTAGAGAAACCAAGTCTAAAGCCAGAGACAAACATTTTTCTACTGCAAAATGTTGAAAGCAATAGTGCTTATCTCACTGTTTGAAAAGCAATGCAAATTCAAGTGGCTCTCATTTTATCCACGTTTTCTTCAATTTAGACAATTCTCAATATTGTATATATGAGAGCCCTACTGTATATTTAAGGGAACATGATATTTAAATTGACTTCAATACATTTTTAAAGTCCATTATCATCACTGTGCTTTTTACTTTGGAATATTAAAAATCACTCTCATTTCCTTTTCTTTCACATTTTTTCCTAGTTTTAGCCCATTTTTACAATGGTAATATAGCTCTGTTGAATAGAATCAGGGCTACACATGACAAATAAATGTCTACAGAACTCTTCTGGACTGGGCGATGGAACTATATACTGAGTTAAGCTAGCAGCACCTTATCTTTAGCAACGTCTGCATAAAAGCTAACCACTGCACATATAATTTGGCAGTCAGAGATGAATTTTTGATGGGAAGGTAGATCAGAACAGAGCAAATCCTGACATATTGTACAGTGACCCTCCTCCCTCCGCCACCTGAATTCTTTATTACCTCTGCATGCATTAAAATACTCTTTGGATAACAGGAGAATTCTCCCTCTGCCACAATCCATCCTAAAGGAGAGAAGCATGTAAGCATGTGTCATATGTTTTTAGCAAGACAACCCAATCACCAAATGCTATGATTCCATTTAATTTACTCTACTTGTCTGGGTTCTCAACAACTTAAGCTAAATAATTGAGGTGGGTTCTGTCCCGAGCTCCTTGGTGGAATATACCTTTTCCACCTGTGGATTTGGCCTTTTCACCCAACTTTATGGAAAGGGTAAGCATTTACTGGGATGACCCTATGGAGGGCATTTCTCATTGGGGTACTTTTAATATTATAACTACATATATAATTCTTTTCCGGCTTTCTTCACTACGAAAAAAGATGGTGTTAGCATTTTTAAAGGCTGTCTCTCTGCATTTTATTGTATAAATCAGTTTTCTTGCTGAAGTCAAAGGTCATTCCTCCTGCTGCATAACAATACTTTTCAGCCTAATATTAAAAGCTGGCCTCATTTTACTTTGTAATAGAAAGCTTCACTTTGGCATTAATATTATTCAAAAGGCGGCTGCCCACATAATAAGTTCCTTTTAAGCAAAATGAGAAAACACACATTTATCAAATAATTTTCAGTTACGGAGGCTACAGTTTTGATTGCATCAAAAAACCTCAGCCAATCATTCCTGAGAGATGCCAGATCCATGTGTCTGGCAGGATATTGAATAGCCAATGAGTGTGTTCTTGCATAACATATTTATAGAATCTTTTACAATGTGGAGAGAGGGGCAGAAATGTGGCTTTTAAAAAAATTCTAAGCCGGTGTTAAAGAGGCCATGCCAAAGCTGAGAAATACTTCTGTAAAGAAAATAGCACACATTCCTGAGTATTCTAACATGGTGAATGGCAAAGGCAAAATTGAATTTATGCCTTCCTGTTTGTGCCACTCACTTGTGTAGATTTGTGTCTATGATGACACTAGAAAGGACAGTTTCCTGTTTTGCTTTTTGTGAATTAGTCCAGTAAAACCCGTTTTACTTGTACACAGCCGAGCTTAGGTCCAGCCTGGACATGAAATATAGCAGCAGGGCTGACATGAGTTTTAGCTAGTGCAAGATAGCTCTTTCCTGTGATTGCATGTCAGCTTGTACAAACAATATTAGGATATAATTTGGTTTACAAAGTTATGTAAAGCTTCATTTAGGTATCTGTACAAACACACACACACACACACACACACACACACACACACACACATAATGTTTCCTTTTCCTGATGTATTTCCAAAGCATACATTACACTCTTAGTTTATGATCTTAAGACCATTTTCAAATAATTTGCTAATATAGAAAAATGGGGCTGGGCGTGCTGGCTCACTCCTGTAATCCCAGCACTTTCGGAGGCCGAGGCGGGTGGATCACATGAGGTCAGAAGTTCGAGACCAGCCAGACTGATATAGTGAAACCCCATCTCTACTAAAAATGCAAAAATTAGCCAGTTATGGTGGCGGGCGCCTGTAGTCTCAGCTACTCCGGAGGCTGAGACAGGAGAATTACTTGCACCCAGGAGGTGGAGGTTGCAGTGAGCCAACATTGTGCCACTGCACTTTAACCTGGGTGACAGAGCGAGACTCTATCTCACAAAAAAAAAAAAAAAAGGGGAAAAGAAAACTGATACGATGGTCACTTCATCTACACACTCACTTGCAATTTCTTTCTCCTATTGTATTCGAGGTTTAATTGCAAATACTGAGATGAAATTGATCCAGAGAAATCTTGCCAAACAAACCAACAAAAGCCATAGTCAATTCTATATGTCACCATGATTGATAAGGAAACCAGTGCTTTAATTCCTCAGGTGACTCTTCTTCTCATCCTGATGAACCTGCCAATCAAACTCAGGAGACAGGCAAGAGAAGAATACAGTTAGAAAGAAGGAGCAGCATCAGATGAAGGCCTTTGCTAGGCCTGCTGCTGCTCCTAGTTGTATTTTTTCTTACTTGTTTTCTCTTTCTCGTCCGCTTCCTCATTTCATTCTCCTTCCCTTCTATCTTTTCTAACTTGTCCGTTTCTTGGAAATCAACTTATGGCGAAACACCCGTGTCTGTTGCTTAAATGCCCCAGGTGGCTATGCTAGGTTGGGAATTGTAGAGCTCTCACATCTTTAAATTTCAATGTAGTTCTTATAACTTTCTAACGTCAGCCCCTCTGATGCACAAGTCTTCTCGTGATCCTCTGGAATAAAGCTGTGACTCTCTGGAACTTCACATCACAAAATGGTGTTCAAAAAATCTGTTTTATTAGATGGCCATGTGCAGTGCCAGCTAAAAACATGATGCATTTCTAGAGAGCCCGATCACCCACCTCTGGCATTTTTCCCTTAAAGGAAAAAGACACACACACACGCACACACACACACACACACACACTTCTAAATAGAATTCAGAAGACATAGCACTGGGAGCAGCTCATTTCTCAGAAATTCCTGAAAGCTAGAACTGCATACTCCCCCACAATCAGAGACTCAATCAGCCTCCAATGGAAAAAAAAAAAAAAGTGGCTGCAGTTGTAAGAGACAAGCTGATCTAATTGATCCCAGCCCCTCAGGGAGGATGTTCTTCACTTAATTAAGAGCACTGCCACCTGCTTGGTGTATTGGCGTCTAGCAATTCACTTGAGCAGGTCCATCGGCAGATTAGGGCACCAGCTTTTACTGCTGCGTGGTACTGAAACACCAGCATATTAAGCTCTAAAGCTGGTTCTTAAACTGTCATAATGCTGGCTGAATTATAGCTGATTGGAATACCGAACAGGAGAATGCTGATTGGCTGAAAGCAAATCAAATCTGAGCAAAACTACACTGCACTAATAGAATAATAAGGCAGAATGCTTGAAAGAAATTATTTATACATTGCTTCATAAAGGTTCTGATCATTCATTTAGTTTATGTTCTCTAAGCAACTATCCCCTCTAAAATGTTTAATCAAAACCAACTTTAGCTGTTGTATTTACTGTAAAGTGGTATTGTGATACTTGTGACCGATAAAAATCTCACATTTTATGAAAGAATCATAGCTTTTTTGGTATTGTATCTCATGCCTGTTAAGACACACAGATAAAGCCATTTATGGGAACAGGTAAGACCCCAATAACGGCCAACTTGTAAACAAATTTCAAGGATTTCTTGAATGTTTGGTTATTAAACCAAAGCCCAAGTGAATACAGTTTATTATTTTAAGATTACTTTAAAAATTAAGGTTTCTCACTATTGACATTATGATGAAATTATGAATTTACTAAAGTGCTAATTAGAAGTGCTTATCCTCTGAAGTTAAAGGGCACCAAAAGACAGCCTTAAACTAGGCTTGTATTTGCTTTGCATGATTTAACTGCTTTACATTTTTCTTTCTGTTTTTGCTTTATGTAGTAATACCAATAGTAATGTCAATGGTTAATAGTATAGTAGAAGATTAAAATGTATAACTTTTTAGATACTAAAAGAGAGTATTTTTGATCAAGTGTGTAAACTTCCTACTTGTTTATTTTAAAGTATATTATTCCTTTTACGTGAAATTTTCATTTCTTGTAAAAGTCTCAAACTCTTTCACATTAAAGATATTGTAACCTGCAGATGATGTTTTCATTGTTATTTAATCACCCATAAGTGATAACAATATATATGTGGTAAACACTAAAAACAAAAAACCCATTTCTCTGAATTGAGCTGTCCAATACAAAGAATGATACTGGTTACAATATTTCTAGGGAGGGCCATAGGGCCATGGTTTTTTTTTTTTTTTTTTTTTTTTAAGAGATAGGGTCTTACTCTGTCACCCAGGCTGGAGTGCTTTGGTGCAAACATAGCTCACTGCAGTCCCAAACTGCTGGGCTCAAGCAACCCTCCTGCTTCAGCCTTCTGAGTAGCTGGGACTATAGGCATGCACCACCAGCCCTGGCTAATTTCCTGTTTTTTTGTAAAGGCAGGATCTTACTTTGTTGCCCGTGCTGGTCTTGAACTCTTAGCTTCAAGTGATCCTCCTGCCTTGGCTTCCCAAAATGCTGGGATTATAGGCATGAGCCAACCTGCCTAGGCTATTTTTATGATTTTTAAAGAAAATTAATGCAAACATTTTTGTAGTAAATTTTAAATTTCAAAAAAAAAAACATATGAAAAGTCCTTCTTGCTCTCTATCTTAGTCCATTTAGTGTTGTTATAAAAGAATAGCTAAGGCTGGATAATTTGTAAAGAAAAGAAGTTTATTTAGCTGACAGTTCTGCTGGCTGGAAGGTTCAGGATTGGGCATCTGGTGAGAGCTTCAGGCTGTTTCCTCTCATGGCAGAAGGCAAAGGGGAGCCGATGTGTGCAGACATCACATGGTGAGAGAGGAAGCCAGAGAGAGAGAAGAGGGAAGATGCCAGGCTGTTTTTGTTGTCGTTGTTGTTTGAGATGGAGTCTTGCTCTGTCGCCTAGGCTGGAGTACAGTGGCACGATCTCGGCTCACTGCAGCCTCTGCCTACTGGGTTCCAGCGATTCTCCTGCCTCAGCCTCCCAAGTAGCTGGGATTACAGGCACATGCCACCACACCCAGCTAATTTTTGTATTTTTAGTGGAGACGGGGTTTCACCATGTTGGCCAGGCTGGTCTCGAACTCCTGACCTCAGGTGATCTGCCTACCTCGGCCTCCCAAAGTGCTGGGATTACAGGCATGAGCCACCTCGCCCAGCTGCCAGGTTGTTTTTAAACAACTAGTTCTAACAAGAACTAATAGAGTGAAAAATCAGTCACCGACGAAGAAGGGCATTAATCTATTCATGAGGGATCCGTTCCTCTGACCCAACATCTCCCATTAGGCCCCACCTCCAACATTAGGGATCAAATTTTAACAGGTTGGGAGGGGACATATACCCACACTATAGGGATCTCTACTGTAGTCCTCTCTATAGAGATTATCACTTTTATCATCTTTTCTTTTCTTTTCTTTTCTTTCTTTCTTTCTTTCTTTCCTTCTTTCTTTCTTTCTCTTTCTTTCTTGTTTCTTCTTTCTTCCCTTCCCTTTCCTTTCTCCTTCCTTCCTTCTTCCTTCCTTCCTCCCTCCCCCCTCTTCTTCTTTTCTCTCTTCTCTTCTCTTCTCCTTTCTTTTCTTTTCTTTTCTTTCACAGGATTTTGCTCTGTTGCCCAGGCTGGAGTGTAGTGGTGAGATCATAGGTCACTGCAGCCTGGAACTTCTGGGCTCAAGTGATCCTCCTGCCTTGGCCTTCCAAAGTACTGGGATTACAGGCATGAACCACTGTGCCTAGCCTATCAATTTTCATAAACATCCAGAACTTTTTCTGAAATATATATCGGGGGAGAAGAGAGATTGTGTTTTGGTCGTGTTTCACATAAAAAAATTCTGTTTCTAAGAAGTATTTTCTATAACTCATATTTTCACAAAACAATGTTTTTAGAAATTTTTGGGGTGGAGGGGGTCATTTCATATAGAATTGCCTGTGATTCATTGCTGCTGAGTTTTCATAGGATGGATGAATTATAATTTATTTTACCCTATGTTGATGGATATTTATGTCATTTTCAACATTCACTCTTTCGGTGCTGTAGTGAAAATACATGCAAGTATTACCCCCAGATCAGAGACCTAAAAGTGAAACAGCTGTGTCCAAGGGTAACGCGTTCTATATCTCATAGCGATGTGGATCTTTTAAGGTAGCTGAAAATGCAGATCACTTCTTCATTGTTCCCTCTGATTGGTGAAGTTTCACTCCCAGATAGTCCTGTGGTATCTTTCCCATTGAATTAAAATTTTTGAATCTTTCTCCACATTTTTATAATGAGACTACTACTCTTTCTTTCTCTATCACCTAATCTTTACTTAGTTTTCTTTATTTTACTTATAACCACCTGATATATAAGGTATTTATTTGTTTATTGATTGTCTGGATGTATCTGTTTCACCCTCTGCTATATTTCTGGTACTCAGATCACTGCCTAGTGCTTAACAATATTTGTAGAATAAGTAAAAAAATGAGTGAACTAATGAACTATAATTTTACCTCCTGTATATCTTTGTATTTGTCTATTTTGAAAGCATAAAAACATGGCTTTCAGTAAGGTTTAAAAAAAAAAATTTTATCAGCTGGGTGCAGTGACTCACGCCTGTAATCCCAGCATATTGCGAGGCCGAGGCGGATGGATCACCTGAGCCCAGGAGTTTGGACCAGCCTGAGCAACATGGCAAAATCCCGTCTCTACCCAAAATACAAAAATTAGCAGGGCATGGTGGCCGGTGCCTGTAATCCCAGCTACTCAGGAGGCTGAGGCAGGAGGATCATTTGAACCTGGGAGGCGGAGGCTACAGTGAGCTGAGAGAGTGCCACTGGACTCCAGCCTGGGTGACAGAGTGAGAACCTGTCTCGAAAAAAAAACAAAACAAAAAATTATCCCTGTTTCTGTGCTGGGGAAACTAAGGAAAACATATCCCTTGTCTCTGTAAGAAGAAGCAAATAATCATTTATGAATCTCACCAAATGAAAAAGGAATAGGGACAGGGGCTTTGTGATCATCTTAAATATTATCTACTTAAGGCATTGGCTAGTTTAACACAAGCTAATTCCTCCTCTTTTTAATATTGGTACATAATGGAGTAATCCACCAGAGTCTCTTGTAGCATTGATGAACACCAGGAATTGCATTGACTCTAATACACATTGCGGCATCAAGTTCCATATCCTGGTTTTTCCCAGGAGCTCTGCCCTGAAAAACGTCCTCCTCTTCACCACCACACTTGTCCTTTTGTCTTTTCTTTTCTGCTGCTGAGTCTTCAAGCGGTAGGTTATATAGACTATGATGTCACCTATCATTTATAACCAAGTAGAAAATAAGAATTAGAACACTGTTGTCAAGCTATCTTCACTCCCTAATTGAATTTTATCCGTTTAGCACTTTAAAATGGAAGGTTTGGAGGATTTAATTTTTAAAAGGTAATATTCTTTTTTTGGATCATTTTTAATACCTTAAGTCCCTGACCAGGATTTCTGAGACTGAACAACTAATCATCCCAAAGATGCTTCAAATACAAGTAATTCAGAATTTTTAAGGTATTCCTCAAAGGGCACGAAATTATGGAGTAAAAGTAGCTTAACAGAAGAAAAAATAAATCCAGGGTTGATTCCTGAGGTAGGATTTATTATCTTATAAATCTGCAGAACAATTTAAACTTTCAAAAACTAATTTTAAAAATTAGCGATCTAATTAAATATGCACTCACTCATATACTCCTCATCTAAAAGAAGCCAGATCAAAACTATTGGAAGCTATGGCGAAAGCAGCTGATGAGAAATTAAACAGCTTGGTCTCTGTCTTTTAGTCTAATAGAATGTGGTTTTCATTGGCATCATTGTTTGTAACAAATTATAGATAAACTTCAGGCAATGATTGATGTGGCTGGAGGTAGTAAGGTTATGTAAAACTTCAACTTCTACAGTTAGAAAACATTCTAAAAAATTAAACGGGTAATAAATTGTCATACCTTGGAATAGAGAAAAAAAACTGGGCATTCTAAATGCCTAGGCTGTCACTAGGTAGTAAGGAAAAAATATTTTGCCAACTTCATGCATATTAAACAGATGCATGACAGGTGGCCAAAAAAAAAAAAAAAAAAAAGAAAGAAAGAAAAAATGGTGGTGGAATGTGAAACTAACTTCGTAAACGCCTTCTTGTGTGCGTTTGCATTTCCTTTTCATCTCTGGCATTTTATAGTTGGCACTTTTCGTGGGGCTTTAAAAAAATTAAGTGCTTTCGTCTGAATAAGAATAAATCACCAACTTATTTTCATGTTTACCAGACTAGCTCCAAAGTTAGTGTTGTTTTTCTTGATGGCATTAGCTTCAAAAGCTTGTCTCTTAAGAGAGTCGTTATGTTATAATATGTGAAATTAGTTCAGATCGGTTTACAATCAAACAAGTTAATTGTTGGCTCAGTCCACTCCACAAAAAAACTCTTATCTATTTTATGAGGCCTTATTTCTGTGTTCTTGAGCTAGGGGGAAAAAGGTACTTTGTGTATGAGCTGGGGAGAAAAAGGGAAAAGACTCAAGTCAAAGAAATATCTTCCTAAACTCTGGATTTGAGCCATTTGTCTAGACTCAAATGTCCAGTCTGTTTTGAGGATTATTTAAAAATTGACCTTGAGACCAATTTGCTTGTCATTGCTTCAAAAACAATGCTAATGTGAGAACTTGCAAATCTTAAATCAAACTTTTTCGATATTAAAACAATAATGATTGTAAGAACACAATATATTTTAGTTATGTATTCATATTCATTTATTTACATGTCTAACAGATATTACTGAGTGCCATTATGTGCTCAGCCTGGTGCCAAATTTCTAGGAATATGATGGTTAGAAATAACAGACAAAACCTCTTCCTCCATGCTTTGAGACTCACATCTAATAGTCTGCAGGCAAAGAGGGACACATTCCACAAGAAGGATGTTTTCTCATGTATCAGCCCTATAGAAGGTTAGGAAGCAGTCTACAGAGATACTGAAAACTTTATTTCAGTAACAATTTCTTTACTCTATCCACCCTAAAAAGTAGAGAGAATGCAGTTGTACCCATGGTTATAGGATATTGCCAATCACAGATGGAAACAGAAATTCAGGGTAAATCCTATGAGAATTTTTGGTTTAAGATGGACCAGTTTGCAGCAGACAAGGGGAAGCTTACAGTGAAATTTCTGCCCAGTGGAACCTCAGTTTGGCTACTAGAGGGCTCTGATCTCAAAGACTGTCAGTTCATTCAAGATGTGAAATAATTAGAAAAATAAAAAGAAAATCTGAAGGTGTACTAATAATCAAGTGACCATCAGATAAAATAAGCTAATTCTTTCAACCTTGAGAGAATGAGAAGTTGGTATGATGGTTAGGAAGAGGAGATTCCAGGTGAAAATAAAATTCCAACTTAAATGATGTTAAAGGAGAAATATTCTCAGTAAAGAGTTTGGATATATTAGATGGTAAATATGTAATAAAGTTATTTTGTGACGTGCAAGATAATCTGAGACGAAATGGAGAGCCACATCTTTCTGTTTCTTGGTGCTCATCCTCATGTTTAAAGTTTAAATCAATCGAAGGGTTTTGACCAAAGTTCATCTCTAAATACGCCATCTTCATTCAAGGTTGCAATTTTCTCTTTTGAGGAAGACAGAGTGGCCTAACCAAACAGGAGAGAAAAATCAGGGTTTATAAAAAGGCTGGATAGGAACCATTTAATTCTCACCGTACTTGGCTTTCCCAGGAATGATTATGCTCTCCTTATGAATGTGACATTGAAAATCTGTACTTTTTATAGGACGCAGTGGGAAAAAAAATGTAAGCTGTAAAATGTTGCTTTAAAAACGTGTTTAAAAACAGTGTTCTGACACTTTATTGCACAATGAGCTCTTACATTAAGCATTTATGGCAGCTACAAATTCACAGCATGGTTTTGATGCAGTAATAAAAAGCACCAAAATGGATCCAACTGACATTTTACAGCCAGAACAAAGGTTTGAAAGTTTAAAGCTTATCTGTAGCTACTACATGTTACATATTAGTTACATTATCTATAACAAGATTATACGTTACCTATCCCTACCATATTTCTAATAGTAAATTATTAGTAAATTCAGTATCTCGATCACTTTCAAGGTCAAAGAACATCAAATCATATGGTCAAACAAACTTAAGGTAATGAGGAAAGACTCTAATGTTTTTTTATGACCACCGAGTGCATACACAGTTCATCCAAAATCCATGCTTGCCCAAAGGAGTGGTTCAATCTCATTTTTCTTCTTCTCTGGAGTTCCAAACAGTCCCTAGTCTTTTTGTACTTATTAATGGGATTGAGTCAAAAATTCTCTCAGACATTTTGTATATTTTTTCCTTTGATTCTGGCAAAATATTGGGAATGTCTGCGATGCTCTCAATTAGCCAATGGTATCACAAACATGTAGTTGGGTCCGATCTTATTCCTGCTTAAATTCCCCCACTACCACCACCACAACTGTGGCTCTTTATCAATATCAGATTAGTATGTTGGCAGTGTGATATTTTGCCTAGAGCTTATCCAAAATACATGACAATCTCTGAGCTGTTGGTCTGAAAACTCAAAAGAATGAGTATTTAAAAACAAGTGTTCTATATAATTTTTTCAGTTCACATGAAAGTTTTCCTAGATGTATCTATATCTTAATGGTTATATTAACTAGATAGCTAGATATATTAATAACATTTTTGATGGGCATGAACACTTTGAGGCTTTACTTAGTTCGTGAATTTGTCTATGGAAAATAATTAGCATTATTTTCCCAAGCCAATTTTTTTGTGAAATTGCCACTGCTAAAAGCCTCATGACTTGGACATAGCATAGTCCAGTTTCTCAGCGCTGCAACAGAAGCCAAGATGTGGTTCTTCCCAAGGGCTGGTTGCATTTGTCTGAATGCCATGTTCATCATTTTTAACGTTGGATAGACATTTTGGGATTGAGTTATATAAAATATTTACCAGCGAATCTATTATCAGTATTCTCAGCAAAACAAGTGTATGCCATTAGTGATCAAACTATTTAAAATATATTTTAAGTGAACAAAAATAATAATATAAATATAATAATATAAATCCGTAATTATTTTATCAAGTTTTATTCTTTTTCAGAATATTCTAACATCCAGTGTTTTATTTGATTATGAGTATTCTCTCTGATAGATGAAAACATATATCTGGAGTCAGAAATCTTTAATTCCTTGAAAAAATATCTTACGATGACATAATGTCAGTGCAATTTAAATTCCTGTATTGAAAGTCCTAATACAATTCTAAAATTCCTTTTGTTTCTTTTTGAGCTATCTTAGATTTCTTTAAACATACAGTCCATAATTCTGTCTTGCATATATGAAGTTGTTACCATCCATGAAAATACTGTCAACAAGTGTGTGGATTTGACAGCCTAGAACATGTAACTCTCCTTCCAGCATAATGATATCTTACCAGGTTTAATTTTATACATATATATAAAATAAATGAATTATAAATATACATGTAATATATAAATAATTCATTTCATAATTTTATACTGATAAGGCACGCTGTTCATTCTCATGTACAAACATGGGAAACAGTCCGGACATGGTGGCTCATGCCTGTAATCCCAGCACTTTGGGAGGCTGAGGCGGGAGGAACACCTGAGGTCAGGAGTTTGAGACCAGCCTGGCTAACATGGTGAAACCTTGTCTCTACCAAAAATACAAAAATTAGCTGGGTGTGGTGGCAGGTGCCTGTAATCCCAGCTACTCAAGAGACTAAGGCAGAATCACTTGAACCCACGATGTGGAGGTTTCAGTGAGTGAGCCAAGATTGCATCGCTGCACTCCAGCCTGGGCAAAAAGAGCGAAACTCTGTCTCTAAACAAAAAACAAACAAACAAACAAAAACATGGGAAACATTGTATTGAAAGTTAAAAATATATTTAGAAATCTTTTATTACTGTATACAATTGAACAAAAGTAGTCAAGATGAAGGAATAACCTCTACCCCTTTGTTATTGTTATCAACTTTTTCTAATTACAGGTGTCATCAATACTATTGTAACAAATTCAAGCAATATAGGAATAACATACGTTATAAATGTCCGTCCCAAGCCATGCACGATCCATCTTACCCTTAGGAGTTTGACATTTTTTCCATACTTCTTGTCTTGTAACTCTTTAAACACATGTATACTATTTTAATGAGATTATATAACTTGCTTTTCAAAATTATCAATATAACTTACACCTCAGGTTTGGAAAAGCCATCGTCTCCCTCCCTATCTCAGAAATCACTTTAAATATGCTTATATTTTATGGTTTTCTTTTCATTTAGATTTTTCAATCCATTTACAACTTGGGGAAGTTTTATTGTGATGGTGTCACAATTTTATTTTTATTTCAAAGTGCTTTGCCAATAGTCACAATGGCATGTAATATTAATAAATTACTATAACTTTTCAACTTTGAATATAACTTTGAAGTAGAATCAAAATATCATAGTAGCGAGAGGGACAGAAGCTTATGAAAAGAATCTTAAACTTAATCTTGGCCAGTAACCAAGCTACATAGGTTGTTTGTTTTAGACTGGAATCTAGTGGAAGTGTGGAAATGTTTACTGAGAATTCCTAATAAAGTTCTTAAACTACATTTTAAAACCCTATGAAACTTTATATTCCTTCAACACAAGAAGTGTCTGATTCCATGAATGCTTTCAAAGTCAGTGCCTTGAAAGAGGGGGCAGGGTATTAGGGTGAGTATATGTCAGCCATATACTCAGAAACAGAGGCGAGACGAGAACAAAGATGTGATCCGTTTTAATTTAGACTCAAACTCCCAGTTTATTTTCCAATATCGATAAAAAATATTTCCAGATGTATAACAATAGATAAGAATGGGAAATAAAACTTGAATTATTACATTGTTAAATTGCCCAATTCAAGCCCCTAAGTCTGGATGTTTATATAAAAATGCATGCAGATGATTTAGTAACGGTGATAACAGAAATAAACAACAAGATCAATTTTACTTACTTGAGGATGTTAATATATCAATTAAAAAATAAATATTGTTGCTAAATATTGATAATTTAAAATTTAATTCAGTAATTTAACTGCAGTAATTTATTTTTAAAATCGTAACATTTGAATTGCAGTAATAAGAAAAAGGTAAAAGAGAATTGGCATACAATCAGGTACCTGAGAAAGAAGAAAGTTGAGTAGAGAGTTGCTGCCTCCTGTTTGCTTTTCAGAAGATTTCCCAATATAATTCAAAATAATAATCCCTAATATTGCTATAGACCTGGACTTCTTAACCTAGTGTCTATGGAAACCTCAGCTACTTTTGGGAGCTCCACAATTGCCCTGAAGTTATATGCAAAATTTTGTAGCTTCTTGTGGTGCTACTGTGTGCATGTGGGCATTCTTCTGATATACATGATTCATGGCTTTTATCACGATCCTGATGGAATTCAGGGCTCCCTAAAAGTTAAAAATAAGTGATATAGACCTCAGAATGTACAAGGTGTTTTAGAGTTGTTAACTAGTTCTTCAGAGCAGCAGTCCCCAACCTTTTTGGCACCAGGTACCAGGTACCAGTTTAGTGGAAGACAATTTTTCCATAGACCGGGTGGAGGAGGGATGGTTTCAGGATGATTCAAGCACATTACATTTATTGTGTGCTTTATTTCCATTATTATTACATTGTAATATATAATAAAATAATTATAAAACTCACTATAATGTAGAATCCGTGGCAGCCCTGCTTTGTTTTCCTGCAGCTAGATGGTCCCATCTGGGGATGATGGGAGACAGTGGCCTGTCATCAGGCATTAGATTCTCATAAGGAGCACGCAACCCAGATCTTTCACATGCGCAGTTCACAGTAGGGTTTGCGCTCCCATGAGAAACGAATCCTGCCGCTGATCTGACAGGAGGCGGTAATGCCAGGGATGGGGAGCAGCTGTAAATACGGGTGACTCTTTGCTTGCTCACCTGCCATTCACCTCCAGCCGTGCAGCCCCGTTCCTACAGGCCACCACCCAGTATCGGTCTGTGGCCTGGGATGTGGGGACCCCTGCTTTACAGTACAGGAGCAGACCTGAACCAAGCCCAAGACACTTATATTTCCCCACTTCTGTGGTCCAGAGAAAAGTGGCCTGGAGAAACTGCTCTCATCAAAATACAGTTACTAAACCTGGAGACCTCTCCTGTCGTATTTGCATTTGACACTGAAGGAAAGATGTGAAGATGTTACAGATCTTTAGGAAAGGACAGATATTTTCTGAGAAGAGGGAAGGTGGGAGTCTTCAAATTTACCTTGTAGCAGCTACCAGTGGTGTATCACTGGTAAGTGAAGAATGTGTATTCCAGAAGTAGTAAAAGTTCATTTTAACAGAGTCACTTAGGGAAAACAAAAGCTTCCTTTATATAGTGGAATCTGCATGCATTTCTTTAAGCCCTAATATCTGAATGCCAAGGCACTGAGTCCACGTAGTTATTATCCTGAAACTCTAGTTTATTCATTGTTTATTCAAATGAGTTACGAAATCACACAATTAGGAGAAAGACCCACCTTTAAAAAAAAAAAAAGAACTCAGAATATTGTACTTCTATAACCATACATTCTTTCTTAGAAGTGTGTGTTTATTCACTCTCCCATCCTGAAACATATGACATCCTATTATTTAAACACTGGCCAAACTACAGCAAAATGAATAGAAACTAAAATATTTCTTAAATATTTAAAGTTCAGCTACTCAAAATCTTGACGCTCTGGTCTATCCAAGTCCTACTGATTGCTAGTGGCAATTTCTTCAGGGTGTTCTTTCTCCTGTTTATTTTTGCCAATTTTGTCAAAGATCAGTTGGTTGCAGGTTATATGGTTTTATTTCTGGATTCTCTATTCTGTTTCCATTAATTTATGTGTCTATTTTTACCCCAGTAGCAGGCTGTTTTGGCATGTAATTTAGAGTTGAGTAACATGATGCCTTCAGCTTTGGTTTTTTGTTGTTGTTTGTTTGATTTTGCTTAGGAATGCTTTGGCTATTCAGGCTCTTTTTTGGTTCCATATACATTTGAGGATTCTTTTTTCTAATTCTGTGAAATATGACATTGATAATTTTATAGGAATAGCATTGAATCTGTACATTGCTTTGGGAAGCATGGTTGTTTTAATAATATTGACTCTTCCAATTCATGAGTGTAGAATGTTTTTCCATTTGTTTCAGTCGTCTACAATTTCTTGCATCAGTGTTTTCGTTCTCCTTGTAGATATCTTTTACCTCCTTGATTAAATCTATCCCTAGGTATTCTATTTTATTTTATCTTATTTTATTTTATCTGTAGTTATTTTTAGTGAGATTCAGTTCTTGGCTTGATTCCTAGCTTGATTGTTGTTGCTGTATAGAAATGCTGCTCATTTTTGTGAATTGATTTTGCATCCTGAAACTTTACTGAATCATTTACCAAACGTAAGAGTCTTTCAGAGAAATCTTTAGGGGTTTCTGGTGTAAGATTATATTAATACTATTCATGAACAGAGATAATTTTACTTCCTCTTTTTTTTCCAAATTGGGTGCCTTTCATTCTTTCCCTTGACTGGTTGCTGTAGCTAGGACTTCCAGTCCTGTGTTGAATAGGAATGGTGAAAGTGGGCGTCCTTGTCTTGTTCGAGTTCTTACAGGAAATGCTTTCAACATTTCCCCATTCAGTATGATGTTGATTGTGGGTTTGCCATATGTGACTTTTATTATTTTGAGGTATGTTCCTTCTATGCCTAGTGTTTTGAGGGTTTTATTGAATGTTTTTTCTACATCTACCTAATTACAAGCAGTGAAATTGAATCAGGAATAAAATAGTTTCCCAATTACAACACAAAGCCCAGTACCAAAGGGGTTCACAACTGAATTCTACCAGACCATACAAGGAAGAACTGAGACAAATCCTACTGAAACTGTCCCAAAAAGTAGAGGAGGAGGGAATCCTCCCTAACTCATTCTACAAAGCCAGCATCACCCTGATACGAAAGCCAGGCAGCCACAGAACAACAACAACAATATCCCTGATGAACATTTGATGCAAATATCCTTGATGAACATTTGAGGCAAAATCCTCAACAAAATACTAACAAACCAAATCCATAGACATCAAAAAGATACTACACCACAACTAATTGGGTTTTATTCCAGGGATGCAAGGATGGTTCAACGTATGCAAATCAATGAATATGATTCACCATATACACAGAATTTTTAAAATCATATTTTATATGATCTTGATGATTTGACTTTTATAATTTACAATGCTTCTCTTTAGATCTGGTACTATTCTTCATCCTGAAGTCCTGAAGTTGACTTTTTAATTTAGCCACAGCAGTTTTTTAAAGATAATTTTTGCATGACATAACTTTTCCCTTCCTTTTAGTTTCAACACGTCTGTATCTTGATGTTTAAATGTGTTTCCTTTAAAAATAATGTGTGCTTGGGACTTGTTCTTCATTGAGTCAGAAAAATCTGTCTTAATTTGGGATTTTAGTCAATTTACGTTAATGTAATTGTTGATACACTTGGGTTTAAGTCTAACATCTTGGTGTTTGATTTCTCCTTGTTCTAAATGCTTTTAATCCCTCTATTCCTCTTTTTTTCCTTATTTTATTGAATAGAATAGATTATCTCCTTTTTCCCCTCTATCGATCTTTTAATCATGCATCTCTGTTAATTTTTACTGGTTGAAAGTTTAGAATGTAGATCTTGAGGTTATCTCAAGACTCACTTCAAAAAATGTCTACTACTTTGCCAATAAGTACTTTGCAAATAACAACCTTAAAATAGTGTACTTTTAGTTATTACTCCCTGCCTTTGCATTCTTGTTTTCATATGTTGACCTTAACATATCCTGTAAATACCATATCACATTGTTATATTTATATTTAAATAGCCACATACTTTTAAAGAAATCTAACATATTTATCTAACCACTGATCTATGTAGACGAAATCCCTTCATATTTATTAACATGCTTATTCCTGATGTTCTTCAATCCTTTCTGCAAAATTGGATTTCTACATGACAGTATATTCTTTTAGGCTAAAAAATTTTTTTAAGAAATTTCTTGTGGGGTTTGTCTATTGAAAACAAATTTTCCCAGATTTGTCTGTCTGAAATGCCTTTATTTTGCTTCAGTTTTGAAGTATATTTTTGCTGGATCTTGAATACCAGATTTACTTCTTTTTGTGCCTTTTTTTTTTTTTTTTTTGAGACAGTGTCTGGCTCTGTCACCTAGGATGTGTGCAGTCGTACCATTACAGCTCACTGCAGTCTTGAACTCCCGGGCTGAAGGGCTCCCACCACCTAAGTCTCCTGAGTAGCTGGGACCATAGGCCCCGCCACCATGCTCAGCTAGTTTATTATTTTTTGTAGAGATGGGGGTCTCACTATTTTGCCCAGGCTGGTCTTGAACTCCTAGACTCAAACAATCCTCCTGCCTTGGCCTCCCAAAGTGCTGGGATTACAGGTGTGAGCTACAGCACCCAGCCTTTTTTTCACTCTTACAGGTGTCATGTTGTTGTTTTTACTGAGAAGTCAGCTGCCATTCTCTTCATTTTGCCTTTATGTGTGTCTTCCTCTGGCCACTTTCAAGATTTTCTGTTCATTTTCAGGAGTTTGACATGACATGCCTTGATTTGTTTTTCTTTTTATTTATCCTATTTGTAGTTTACTGAACTTCTTCAATCTGTTAGATAATTTCTTTCAAAAATGTTAGAGAAATTCACGACCGTTATCTCTTCAAATATTTCTTCTGTCCTAATTTCTTTCTATGTTCCTTCTATCACACTGATCACACATATGTTAGACCAATTCATGTTGTCCTTCAGATCTTGGGCACACTATTTTATTGTTCATCTTTTTGTTTCTATTGATCTGTCTTCACATTTACTGATTCTATCCAATGTTATTCTCTATCTGCTAGTACACTCATCAAAGGGATTTTGTTTTATCTCTATCAGTTTTTCTTCCTTCATTTCGAATTTTGCCATCTAGGCGCTTTTTCTTAGTTTCCATATCTCCACTGGAATTTCCCATCTGTTCATGAATGTTGTGAGCCTTTTCCACTATACTATTTAACATATGTATCATAGTTATTTTAAAGATGCCCTATAAAAATTCAACATCTGGGTTATATATTTTCTAATACTGACCATTTTCTCTCTTGATAATGAATCACAATGTTTTATTATTTGTATGTCTTATGATTTTTTATTGAATGTCTAATATAAATAAAGACTAAAGCAAATAATATTTTTACCTACAAAAGGTCATGCTTCCTCTTTCTGGCTGTTAATGTGTGGGTTATGTCAGTCTATTTCCAGGCTAGTCTATATTTGAAATGAGTCTGGGTTTTTTGTTGTTGTTGTTGCTTAAGTTAGATTCGTTTCACCATGAGCTTAAAATTATTTGACATGGGATTTGTAAACTTACAGCATGTGCCTCTTTTTTCTATCTCTCCTCTTTGTAGATGGATCCTACCTGGTATGCTGTAAAACACCTTAACAGGCTGTAGAACTTCTCTCATACTTTTTGCTTGTGATTTTGCCTTCAAACTTCAACAGGCCCCATGTGCTTCTGCCTCAGGAGTGTTTCTTTCAGCTTTCCTGCCCCATCTCCATCTATATAGCCATAGATAGTCACTGTTTCATAATCAGTAGACATGGTTTAGCGTGTCCACAAGGTTCTCTAATTTCTAAGTCTATACCCTCAGACTTCAGCAGGCCCTGTGAACCTGTTTCATAGGTGGCTAGGGAGATGTAGTGGTACTCTCAGCTCTCCTCTTTCTTCCCCAGTGACAGCCAATAGCTTCTAGGTATTCATGGTAAATACTGGATTACCCATAGGGTTTTTCTAAATTTCAAGCCCCACCTTCAGATATTAGGAAGCCACATACTTTACCTTTGTCTCAGTAAGAGCCAGCTATCAGGCACTACCTCTAGTCTTTCTCAAAAACATTTGGTGAAGGCTTGCGGACAAAAATGTTGGTGCAGATATCATTTGTTCCTGTCATAACCTGGGATTCTAGACTGCCACTCCAATATGCATTCAGACTTTCACTTTTTGAAATGTATTTGGTTGCTTTTTATCAGCATTTACAGAATTTTCTACCCCTTTCAGGTGCTCTGTCGAGGAGAAAAGCAGAGATGGCTTCCTTCTTTCTCAGTAGGGGTTTGGCATTTTTTTGAATTTTTTTTAATTCAGCTTTCCAATGGGCTTCCATAAACTGTGATTTTGTAGGTTAGAATATTTTTATTATTTGGGTGGGAGTGACATTCTCTTGTGACTTTCTGTATCCTACAGGGAAAGATGAAGCTGGCAGATTGGAATTTTTATACAACTTTGTTTACTACTAATTGCTTTCTTACCTAGTGTATCTCACAAAGTAGAAATAGTCATAGCAAACATATGTTTAGTAATAATAATACTAACTAGCTCTTCATCTATGCAAAGCTCTATCTTAAGCATTTTAAATCTATTAACTCATGCATTCTTCATTGCAGCACAATCATTCAAATTCCAATATTATCCTTATTGTAATGCAAGGAATATGAGTTTCTAGAAGTTTGAGTAAATGACTCAATATGTAAATAACTCAAGTGACTCAATAAGACAAAAAAAAGCAACCAAATATAAAAATGGGAAAAAGAAATGAGTAACAATGAACATTAAAAAGTAAGCATAAATTGGTCATGAATATATGAAAAGATGTTCAACCGTATTATTCACATTATATTAAAACCATAGGCCAGGAGCAGTGGCTCACATTTGTTATCCCAGCACTTTGGGAGACTGAGGTGAGTGGATCACTTGAGGCCAGGAGTTCGAGACCAGCCTGGCCAACATGATGAAACCCTGTCTCTACTAAAAATATAAAAAAAAATTAGCCAGGCATGGTGGCGGGCACCTGTAATCCCAGCTACTCTGGAGGCTGAGGCAGAAGAATTACTCAAACCCAGGAGGTGGAGGTTGCAGTGAGCCAAGATTGCACCATTGCACTCCAGCCTGGGCAACTAGAGCGAAACTCCGTTTCGAAAAAAAAAAAAAAACATAATAATATTGTTTCTTCCAGGTGAGCATATATCAAAAAGCCAGGCAATGACAAGTGTTGACAAAGATATGGGACAGGCCGGGTGTGGTGTCTCATGCCTGTAATCCCACCACTTTGAGAGGCCAAGGCAAGAGGACTACTTGGGTCTAGGAGTTTGAGAACAGCCTGGGCAACATAGTGAGACTCTATGTCTACTAAAAATGAACAAATTAGCCAGGCATGGTGGTGTATGCCTGTATTCCCTGCTAGTCAGGAGACTGTGGTAGAAACATTGTTTGTGCCCAAGAATTCAAAGCTGTAGTGAGCCACAATCATGCAACTGCACTCCAAACTCCAGCCTGAATGAAAGAGTGAGATCTTTTCTCACAAAAAAAAAAGGAATTAAAAAAGATGTGGGACAATGAATACTTGCATCTGATAATGGTGGACATATCTATTGATGCACCACCTGGAAATTAGCATGATAGCTCCAATTAATCAAGCTGAATATTTACATATCCTTAGCCAAACAGTGCTACTACTTGGTATATACTTTTGAGAAACTGTTGCATAAATACAACAAAGACTTACACATAAAGACTTTTTCAGAACCAGGATTCAAACCTAGACATTCTGACCTTCTAAATTTTTGCTCACAGCTATTATATTATGCTAAAAGTAGTCATAAGTTCAGTTGTAAGATTTCTCACACAAGTGAGATTCCTACCACACAGAAATCCAATCAATTCCCTGGTAGACCTTAGAAAAAACAGAAATATAGAGTGCAGATAGTTGAGACAGTATGACATCTAACTAAAAACCAGTCTCCAGGAAAATGAGGCACTTTCCAATTGAGTAAAGATGTGTGAATTCCTTCAACAGCAGAGTACCCCTATTAGGAAATAAACACCCATAACGAACTCTAATAGAACTGTTTAAGGTTCTGATTGGAGCAAAGTAGCCCACTCTTTTGTTTTAAGTGTTGCTTTTGGATGCTAACAAAGTCCTTCTCCCTTGGAGACAGATGTTGCATCTAGGAATTAGAGAAAACCTGTCAGTTTTACCTAGCTGAAATACCAATGCAGTTCTAAGTACTTAAACAGGGAAATCATTCTTGTTTGTCTGTATTTATACAGAGCAGTCTTAGCATGTGTAATTAATAGATCATCCAGTAAGAAACACTCTTGTAACCAATTAAACTCACTATATTTGAATACACAAAACATTCCAGCCAATGAACCATTCAAAATATTACTTTAAACCAATTTGGTTATAACTATTAAGCCTATTAATGAGTTCCAGAAAATCATGTCTTGGGAAAGTATTGGCAAGCTTTCTGTCAAAGGAATGCCTAGCAAAGTATTTTCCAATAATGTCCCAAGATACTACATTTCTTTTAAGTATTGTGTTTAACTATAGAATTATATTCCCTACTGTCAAAGAATATTGCTTTATTTACCTAAAATTTCTATGAACTGCACCAAAATTAAGTGGCAATAAATTAAATTTGGTAACACCTGAGCTTCATATCTGATAAGTAATTTGTTTTCAATGGAATACGTTCAGTCATAGCCCTATATTGTGGTATAAGCATTTGTGGAGGAAAATCAGTGCTTTAATCAAGATCAACTCAAACATAATATTTATTGTTATTGCATGTAAGTGTGTGAAAAATGAACTGGGTGATAGTGCCATGTCAGAACTATTTTCCTCAACATTACCGCTAATCATCTAAACTTCATTAGGAACCAACTCCGGTACAGGTGGGAAAACATTTAGTTGTGTTCTGCTCTGCTGAGCCCATTCAAAATAGCTTTTCTGCCTCACTCCAGCGGTTTCATGAAGATGGGGATTGATCTGTGAATCTCTTGCATGGTATGTTTGAAATTTTTATATGAGTATAAAGTGTCAGGTGGTGTCAAATGCTCTAATTACCAGGCAGCAGAGGGAGACTCAGTTGACAAGGAGTTACCATTTTTATAAGATACGACTCTGCTTGAGTTCATTGTAGATTCTGGATATTAGCCCTTTGTCAGATGAGTAGGTTGCGAAAATTTTCTCCCATGTTGTAGGTTGCCTGTTCACTCTGATGGTGAACTCAAACAAATTTACAAGAAAAAAACAAACAACCCCATCAAAAAGTGGGCGAAGGACATGAACAGACACTTCTCAAAAGAAGACATTTATGCAGCCAAAAAACACATGAAGAAATGCTCATCATCACTGGCCATCAGAGAAATGCAAATCAAAACCACTATGAGATATCATCTCACACCAGTTAGAATGGCAATCATTAAAAAGTCAGGAAACAACAGGTGCTGGAGAGGATGCGGAGAAATAGGAACACTTTTACACTGTTGGTGGGACTGTAAACTAGTTCAACCATTGTGGAAGTCAGTGTGGCGATTCCTCAGGGATCTAGAACTAGAAATACCATTTGACCCAGCCATCCCATTACTGGGTATATACCCAAATGAGTATAAATCATGCTGCTATAAAGACACATGCACACGTATGTTTATTGCGGCACTATTCACAATAGCAAAGACTTGGAACCAACCCAAATGTCCAACAATGATAGACTGGATTAAGAAAATGTGGCACATATACACCATGGAATACTATGCAGCCATAAAAAATGATGAGTTCATATCCTTTGTAGGGACATGGATGAAATTGGAAACCATCATTCTCAGTAAACTATTGCAAGAACAAAAAACCAAACACCGCATATTCTCACTCATAGGTGGGAATTGAGCAATGAGATCACATGGACACAGGAAGGGGAATATCACACTCTGGGGACTGTGGTGGGGTCGGGGGAGGGGGGAGGGATAGCATTGGGAGATATACCTAATGCTAGATGACACATTAGTGGGTGCAGCGCACCAGCATGGCACATGTATACATATGTAACTAACCTGCACAATGTGCACATGTACCCTAAAACTTAGAGTATAAAAAAAAAAAAAAAAAAAAAAAAAAAGATACGACTCTGCTTTGATTTTTATGGACAGCAGGTCCTGTTCTTTATTGCATGGTGAAGTCAAAGAAGCTAGTGTGGAGTCCTTGATTTAAATATTATGAATGGTAAATGAAAGCAAACTCTAGCACATGCTGATTCTGCTAAAAGCACTCAGTTCATTGAACCTTCCTTGATTTCTTTCCTTTTTCATATTCTTCTCTCAACCTTCAGGATTCCACTTTCCTTAATAAAATGTAAAGGAAGCATCTATCCATTTGTCTGTTCAATGGGCTACATCCTCTTCTAGCCACTAACAAAGTCAATCTGTTCTCCTCCAGCACCCAGGTACACATTCCAAACAGTATTGGTCCATGAGCCAAGAGTGAAAGAAATGCCTCATGGGACCATCGTGCATGAGGATACATTTGTAAGTCTCTTTTTCTCTTAAACTCAGTAATGCCACAAATTATTTAGCAAGAAATGAAGCACCAAGTTAAATGAGACATGTTCATTTCCTAGATATTTTCCTGTTTACCCTTTCTATTGTCACAGTCCATCTAATGAGAGTCTACGCTAACACTGCTAAGCCCATGGATTTCCGTATTTTGTTAAGCCAGAACTTGGCACAGACATTTTTATATTGTGGAATCTACTCTACGTTGTACTGTTGAAATATTTTCATTGTCTGAAACTCACATCTTGTAGTTGTGGGAGTATGAATGTTATTTTCAGGTCAAATTGCTGTAGGATGGAAGCATGGACCCATTTTTGGTTTAATGCTAATTCTATTTTTGGGTTCTGCATTAAGTACCCATTGCCTCTGAGGTGATTATTTCCATTTTATTTTTTAAAATGCTGATTGTGAGTTATATGTTATTAAATTAGCTTTATTTAAAAGCATTCTTACTTGTATAATGATATACTATGTTTGGAGTTCCAACTGTGGGCTTGACAGAGGTAATACTGTTAAAGAAAACCTGTTCAATGACATTGGCTAAAGCACAGTAAGGCAGACTGTATTCCAGACCATCTCAACAGGTGCAGGGACTACTGCAACGGGGCTTTGCACTCTGGGAGAGAGATTGGACTCAACTCCCAATACAGCACGGGCAAGTGGGAATTTATAGCCAAAGAATAGTGTGGTAGTCAGTGGATGGAAAATTATTAAGAGGAAATGTCAGGGGTGAGGAGGATTCTGACTAAACCCACCTAAGAGGATTTTTGCTGAAGACAGGCCAGTGTGATCAGAAATCACCTAGCAGATGGTGGAGGATGGGGAACCTGATCAGATATTGAAGATGATCAGATACTGAGAATGGGATGTTCTTGCTAAAGTGACTTAACAGAGTTCTTTTCTAAAGCTGGATTTTACAAGCAAGTGCACAGATGTGCCTGGCAGAAGATTTAGAACACTGACTAAAGTTGGGCCAAGTAAATAATCTTTGTCAGTTTCAAGCATGTATTTCATATTGCTGCTATCTTCCTTTGTGCAACATTAAAAAACTGTTGACACTTTATATTGTCATTATCTTTAATTTTCCAGGATACTATAAAATAACCAACTATTGCATTATGAAAACATTACTCCTAAATTTTCAAAATAGGCTTAAGTAACTGCCAGTTATTTTTGCCCCCATTATGATGCTAAAAATAATCTTCTGAAGATATGGATATGAAAGTTTCGGAGCTCCCTTTCCACCAATTCATGAGTTTAATTTGTCCAATTCATCAAACAATAGGTGATGTGTGTTTCCTTTATCACCTCCAAGTTCATTTCCCATTATTATTCCATAAGTTACTTTGCCAATTTTTCTAAAGTTATTATGGATAAAATCAGATAGAGAGTAATTAGAAACTGATCCAGAGGTTTGTGGGAACTTGCCTAAATCTATTGAATAATTTTTCAATTCAGAGTGGCAAAAGCCATTTTGATGTTGGGAAGGCCATCTCATATTTTATTACTTCTCTTCATTTTACTGAAAAGATAGTTTTGTTTTTGTTTTTGTTTTTCTTTGTTTGTTTTTTGAGGAAATACGTAGAGTCTTTCTTTGGACATTTTCCCAAAGCACAAGGATCTTTCTTGCAGTTTTGCTCTCCATTAAATTATAAATATATCATTGAATGATATTTTAGTACCATAGCCTAAACCTCAATTACTTAGATGCCCCCCCAAAAAAAAACAAAAAAAAAATTTTAAATGGTTTGAAGGAAAATTTGTCTTTAAGCAGTAAACTTTTTCAATATTAGTATGAATTAAAATTATAAACCAGAAAGCAAGAAAGTGTTTGAAGTATTTAACAGAATATTCATTTTTAAGCTCCTTAAAGCACTTGAGGAACATCTACTAACTTATTGTACTTACATACAAATAATTGATGTGCTAATTACAAATCTTTCTTGTCTGGTTTCTTTCCTCCCTTTTCAACCCTAAAGCCTCATTAGCGAAGTTCTGCTACAGGTTTTGATGTTATTACAGCTTCAGAAAACCCAAACCAAATGTCATGTGTCTTTTTCAAAAGAAACACAGCATGCATCATAGTGAACAGGACTCCTTCTGATTTTCTGTGATTTCTGTGATGGAATTTTTATTTATGTCAAGATCAAGGTCAGCAACACATGATTTTGCTGCATAATCACAGTTGTGTGCAAAGAAAAGTTTACCAGCCTATTTATTCTTTGATCTGTCCCACAAAAAAGGGAACTTAAAACTATAAAATTGCAACATTTTAGAATTGGAAGGTCCTTAGAGATAATCAAGCCCATCCCTTCTGTTTTAACTAGACTTGATGTAGAGGAAATTGAACCCTAGAGAAATTAAGTGACCTGTTAAAGGCTACCCATGTGAAAATACAGTTTATCATTATTCTTTAGACTGTAAAATTGATCCCTATCTTTGAGATTGGAAACTATCTCACAGTTACTCATTGCCTACTATGTGTCAGGCATAACTTAAGTGCTTTCCCAAAATACTCTAACTTAAAAGACCCTTGAACTCAAATGGTTTGGCTATAACCATTTGTCCAAAGAGAAACCTGAAATTTAGGGACGTTGAGACAGGGTTACAAAGCTAGTAAAAGTTAAAATAGAGATTCAAACCTATGCAGACTAAAAACAGAACTCTTCGGATATCATGAAGAAAATACGATCTTCCATAAGATCGCCAAAGTCAATTTCTTTCTCTAGGAAATTTATATCAGTAAGTGATGCTCATCTATTTGTTTCTCCATATTTTTGCCTTGTAAAACTTACCACTAATTAGCAGGTAACTGGAGGTGTTCAAACAGAGCTGACAGTCATCTATTAAAGAGTTTTGCAAATGTTGAGTAGTATGGATGTAGCTTCTAGGATGCTACAAATTTTAGGTTGTTTTTGAAATGACTTTCACTAGGATACAGTATTGAGAATAATTCTTACAGAGTTTCCAGTCCGAACCATATGTGCAATACCAATACAATTTCATAATTAAGGTGGTTTTATTGTGATTGTTCTTCAAATTGTATTTCAACGCACATATTTCTCTCCCAATTTCCTCTTTTTGTTTAGGTTTTGTTGGTTATAGCATCAGAATAGTAATAAGAATGTTATCATTTGAAAACCAGACATCAGAATATCAGAACTTTTTTTGTTTTCTAAAGAAAAAATATTAATAGTGCCATTTAGCCTGGGTTTTCCCTGGTTTCCAAAGCAGAAAATGAGGCAAAGGTTTATGTGCAGGTAGTTTATTTGAAAGAACACAGTAAGGGATGGGGTGATAAAACATAGAAAGAAAAAAAAGTACTAGGATGATTGTCAAGTTGGACACTGAGCTTGGTGGTTATGGAGACAGAATTTAATCTCCTTCCTTTACCTTCTGAATAGCCATATGATATGCTTCTCAGAGGTATCCACCTGGGGTGAGAAGATGGGAGCATTTATCCACATGCATTTGTCTCTTATGCATTTTCTGGTTGTACAAGGGCGAGCACTGAGTGGATTCCCACAGGTTCCCCACTCTGTGTTCAGAGAAGTCCTAAGATAAGAAGCAGGAGGAACACCAATGTGAGCTCAGGGCAAGTCCCTTTACATTGCATCTGCCCAAAGTTGGTAAAAGCCTGCTCAGAACAGGTCACTGTGAAGCAAGAGGAGGTCAAGAGGATTCACAGAGAAATACAAGAGAGGTCCATTTCAAATGCTGATTATACCTTTCCATTTTATTCCTCATCCTATATTTCTGAAAGACAGAGAAGCAGATACAACACAACAGGAAGAGAATCTACAGCTTTAAACTAACAGGTACCCTCCAATTTGAAGCATGACTTGCTTACTTAAATTCAGAACTAACTGGTTGTGTTGTGTGGAAAGATTCGTCGGAAATGTCATAGGGAAAGGAAGACAGTCTAATAGACTCATGGGATCATAGAAATAGAAGGGATATGAAATGTCGTTTAGTCCATATGCTGCCCTGAAGCATTAACTCACAACATATTTTATTATCTTGACATTTAAATATAGTCAATTGCCACAATTACTTTTCAGAGCAAAGTTTTACTTACTTTCTTGGATAGACTATCAGTGCTGATTGCTGGAGCCACAGAATAAATTCAAAAAGTTGTTTGAAGAGCCCAGGGCTACCAAATTACCTTTTGCAGGAATACAAACTCTTACTTATAGATAAGATTATTCCATGACTAAGAACTCAACAAATAAGTTACAGGTGAAAGGCCAGGAGCATTGCATATATGTTTTCCAACAAAAACCTTCTATGATCTTTTGTTTAAATATTAATTCATGGTAAAATTCACTCTGATTTTTTTTTTTTTTTTTTTTTGAGGCGGAGTCTCGCTCTGTTGCCCAGGCTGGAGGGCAGTGCAAGCTCCGCCTCCCGGGTTCACGCCATTCTCCTGCCTCAGTCTTCCGAGTAACTGGGACTACAGGTGCCCGCCACCACGCCCGGCTAATTTTTCGTATTTTTAGTAGAGACGGGATTTCACCATGTTAGCCAGGATGGTCTCGATCTCCTGACCTCATGATCTGCTCGCCTCAGCCTCCCAAAGTGCTGGGATTACGGGCATGAGTCACCGCACCTGGCCTCTGATTTTTTTTTTTTAACTCCAGTCCTTAGACATAAATGAAATCAACATACCCACTGGCGCTTTCAGTGAGTTATGTACATCTCATTTAGAATCTCCTCCAGAAATCTTTTACTGCCTCCTCCTTGGGCCCATATTCTTGGAATTTTTTGTTTGCAATCTATGTGTACCACTTCAGACTACATTCGACAAAACACATACATACATACAGGCATATGTACATGCATGTATACATACAAACATGCATGTATTTGCTCCCTTAACTTAAAAAGTTCATAGAATTTCTAGCTTTAGTCATGGCTAGGACCAAATGTTCAGGTGATATCTCTAGGATCCTCTCCATCTCTTAACTCTGCTTTCTCCATGGTGGCTTAATTTCCAAATATGAGTGAGCACCAAGAATTTCAGATGTATGTTCCATCAGCCTGATAAACTCAGTGGCTCTAGAAAAAGTCCCAGAAAATACCTTGATGGGTTATTGTGATACTTGTCTATTCTTGAGGCCGGGAAAATGGAATGATTCAATTGTCCAGGACACATGCTGACTCTTGGAACAAGAAGGTAGAGTAACCTCCTTCCTGGCTACATAGACTGACATTAGAGGGGCCAGTGAATCTTTAAAAGTAAATGTGAGTGTTGTTACCAAAAGAGGAATGTTGAAACTGCAAAAACAACAGGTGTATCCTCATATTTTTCTCATGACATGTGTGGTTGCAGAAAGTCTGTTCTTCATGGGTCCAGAAGTTTCTTGAAGGCAGAGGCTGTTTCTTGCTCGTGTTATAGAAACTATTATCTACCAGAGTGCCTGGCACTCAGTACTGATTAAAAATAGAAAGACTCTTATGTATTCTAATTAAAGATACTACAGCAGTGTCACTCAGTTTAGTTTATTTGTAAGATAAACCAAATACTTTAAAACGATATATGACAAAGAGCTTCATCTAATTCAGATTACACCATCCAAGATCAAATAATAAGATATCTGCCCGCCAGAGGAAAACAAACAAATGCCTTAAGATAAATAGTAACAGTACTTTTGAAATCTGCTTCCATTTTCATACTCAAAACATATGGTTATCTATAGTAATTCTGCTGCAGACTTTTGTGCTTGTAAATAAAGTAAATGTGCAAATTAATAAAATTCTATCATGCTTCATCATGAATAATGAATAGTTACAAACTCTTCAATGAAAAAAGTAGATTTGCTGTATTTTAAGCATTTCAACAGAAACAGAAGTGGGAATCCATTAATATTTAGTCTATATTTTTTTCTTTGTGTTTGATCTGTTATAGAAAACAAACTGTAATGTTGTTAAATAAAATGAATGCAATTGAGTGTACGCAGGTATGGACATTCTCCTACCATCACATCTTATCTGTCATTCACATGAGGATAAAATAATGTCTCCTGCTTTAAAAGAAAATTTCCAAAGTGCTGAAACAATTTTACACAATTCATGGTGAATGTAAAAATAACCTACAATAGGGTCTTATGCCAAATTAGGCAGCACTTTAGAGAAGCAGGGAATAAAGGCTCAAAGTGAGAGGGAGCTGGGAAGGGAGCATTCTCCTCCTTGTCAGAATAATTGGTTCATTAAATGGAAGGAAAGAAGGGGAAGAGATAAAATGGGAGGAGAGTTCCCACTATTAAATATGTATTGCACAAGGTCTCTCTCAACTTGCTTTGCAGCATCACAGCTAATGTACACAGACCCTAATAAGCAACAAAGTGAATAGGGAGCTGGACTCCCAATTGTTCAGTTCTGTTTTTTCCAATGATAAAGAGGAGGGTGCACTGGTTTCCCTAATCCCAGGGATCAGGTCCCGAAGCTAAGCAAAAGGAAGAAAGGACTGATTAAAGCCACAGCAGTCAAGACCTTTGTGCAGTTGTGATATGTGGGTGTATACAGACACATGCCCAAATAAAGAGCATGCATGTGGTCAGTGGAGTGCTGCGAGAAAGCCTCTGGGTTGAATAGTGCCATTATAAACATAAGTCATTATTAGTAACCAGCATAAATAGGTTGGCCTGTCATGGGGTTAAGATCTGTGATCTGCTGGGACTTGCTACTCTTCAGAGCAAGGGGATGCAGCAGCTGTGTGACAGCAAAATCTGTCTTGAGAATACATCCAAGGGCCCATGGAAAAGTGGTTTCTCATAGACATGGTCTTTAATTAAAGTGGTTGTTGTAGAAAGAAGGTCATCAATCAGAGGTGACCCTTGGATCGAGTTTTGATCTCCAACTAACTGTTCAGTTTTATTCAAGGGACAAAGAGTCAGGAGGGGACCAGAGGGAATAATATCAAGGCAGGAGACACATTTACTTCTGATGTGCAAAACCATAAAAGGTTCAAAGTTTGGGTTTTGGTTCAAATAAAATCCTAAGGGTTCAGATGGTTTTCTAAACCCTCTGAACCTCATGAATGTAGAGAACCAGCTGAAAGAAATCTCGCAAGAGCACAACGGTCCTTGGCATGTTTGGCCACTTCACTCAAAAATCTGGCCAGAAAAATACCATCAGCAATTTAGGCAAGTCCAGCCAGTTGACAAAGAAAAGTGTGCCTTAAGGGCTGCTTTCCCAGATCATAGCTACTATTTGCCTAAGGAAAATGAGAGGAAAATTGAAGGCATGAATGTGGCACATAGCATTTACAATAGATCTGATTGGGCAGTGAGAGACTAGAAGGACTCACAGAGTCATAGTTGATTGAGATTAAAAACAAAGCAAAAAACCTCAGAATGGCCAGGCACGGTGGCTCACACCCATAATCCCAGCACTTAGGGAGGCTGAGGCGGGCAGATCACAAGGTCAAGAGATCGAGACCATTTTGGTCAACATGGTAAAACCCCATCTCTACTAAAAGTACAAAAATTAGCTGGGCGTGGTGGCACGTGCCTGTAGTCCCAGCTACTCGGGAGGCTGAGACAGAAGAATGGCTTGAAGCTGGGAGGCGGAGGTTGCAGTGATCCGAGATCAAGTCATTGCACTCCAGTCTGGGGGGCAGAGTGAGACTCCGTCTCAAAACAAACAAACAAACAAACAAAAAAACCTCAGATCAACCAAGATTTCACATAGCAATTCATCCCCCAAAACATGCTTTGTCTCCCTTGTTTTCTGGCTTTTCCACTTTTAGGATAAAAGCTTACAAAGAGTAACGCTGACAAAAAACTAGCCAGAGAGGAGCCAGTCCAAATCTTCCTAGCAGCCTACTTCTTTTTCATCCCTTCATTTCCGCATTTCCGTTCCTTCTCCTGTGAAGTATAGAGCTGACCGTGGACAAATCTAAATAGCCAGAGTTTCTTCTCTTCTTAGTATCCCCTCATTTTGAGGCCTCATAGGTTGCTCCTCTGGCCACCTGGCACCCTGTTTCTCTGATGAGATTACCCAGGATTTCTCAACCAGAGATTTCTCTTACCCTCTATATTCTGGGTTTTCTCCTTATTTACCCATGATAAGCTTGCAGTTGTAGTTGAATTTAGCATTATAGTTGAAATGGATATGATGAGGCAATTCATAGGTGTAAATTTTAGAGAATAGTGTCGTGTGTTTTCTCAGGTAAAGGCCCTTTCATGAGAATAATTTATCGGTAAGCTGAAAAAATAATATGTCAAACTGATGAGGAGGAATCCTTAGGGGAGAGGGTACTGAAATTCCATTATGTGTATGACTGGAGTGGACGCTGTCTCTCATCCTCCACCTGGACCCTCCCACCCATACCCCCATAGTCATCCAACTACATCTCTGTGAGTCCTGCTGGGACTAAGCACTTGCAGAGGTCTCACAGCTACATCTCTCACTGGATCAAGCCCTTAACCTCAGAGGTCCACCTCACTGGAGCCCTCTCCCCAGGGCAGCTGTGGCCAAAGATTGACAGACCCAGGAATGCAAATCCCTGCACACCTCCCCTTCCCACTTGCCTCAATTTGTGACAACTCTGGGGAGCCACTCTCGTTTCTGACATCCACCCTCTCTCCCCTCCCCCCTCCCCCCAACCCGGCAGACACACACCCTTTGTTTTTGGATTCACTCATAACTACATTTTCAGGCTCTTCTCTCTCTACTTTCTCCTGCCCTCCCTACTTGCTTGTAGATTGTCTCCTGAAGTCACTCTGCAAGGAAACCTTCTGCTCTGTTTCCAAAAAATGCTCAATGCAAAACAGTGCTTCTCCTTGCATTCCTAAGGAGCTCAGTCAGCTTCTCATACATACTACTGTTTAGCAGAATATTGCTGCAGATAGCAGAGTAGCTAACACCTTTCACTGGGAAAAGGGGAGGTGCTGTGGGGAGAGCTGAAACCAAGATTACTTGGGGAAGAGTGAATAGAGGTCAGTGGGGGGCCTTGGCAATTATGGGTGCATAATAATGGGTCTCAGCATACCAGAGGAAAATCCTCGCCCCTGTCAGACAAGCTATCATTCCATTTTCACCTCCAACCTGCAAATTTCAAAATCGATCCTTTTTATATGTGCCCTGGATGTTGCAGGTGCAAAAACATTTCAGAACAAATGTGATCTGATCATTTGCCTATATATAGAGATCTTAATTATCACATTTATCCATTTTATTTCTTTTGAAAGGTTTTTAGAGGTTGTATATCAATGACATCCCTTCCGAAGGATTTGCATTTGAAAGGCTGTTGTTCAAATTTAATTCACATTTGACACAATGTTTTCTCTTGCAGAGCATTACAGAATATCTGAAAATCAGTTTTTAGCAGTCTCTATTCTACATCCCTCTGATCATCTCTCTTTTTATTAACAGTATATTCTAAGTGAATTTCATGTGTGTTGTGGAAGTGAAAAAAATCAGAAAATGTTCATATCCTTTATTCAGTCCCATTTTGATTTTTAAACTGCTCTTCTGTATTGTCTCTCCCATGGGGAGTACTGCCAAAAGGAGCCTGCAGGACAGTGTCTCTGGGCTTCCTGGGACTACGGGGGTCCAGAATAAGAATCGACCCGAAGGGAGCACAGTGTGTTGTTCATAGAGAGTCATGATTAATATCTACCTCTGACTCTTTGCTCTTCTCCTGTGAGAGCAAGCCTGTATGAAATCACTCCACATGCCTGGATGGTTTGTTTTGCACGTCAAGCTCCAACAGCTCTCAGTGAAAAACCAAGATTACATCCTCAAACCCAGGCTGAAGAGAGGGCTGTCTTTAAGGGTAGCAGAATGTTCAGATTTGCTCCTGGCAAATCCTGTTATCTTAGGGGGAAAAAAAATTGAGGGTATTGATGAAGAGGCCCCTTTCTTTAAGAGGGCTGTCCAGTAAAGAGATGAGAGACAGCTGGAATTAGCAGCTATTTGTTTTGTATGCTTTTGTATGTTGTTTTTGTATTGGAACACATTTTGTTCCCATAGTTAGATATTTTTTATTTATTTACTTATTTTTTTACCCTTGGACGAGAAATACCGAAATCCAGATGCAAATGCAGGGTACAAAGTAAACTGCAGAATGGTATGCTGTCTCTGTATCATTGCTCGTTTTATAGGTTTTGTCAGTTTCTGAAAAACGGTGAAAGATAATTGGCCTGAGATGTAAAGCCACACTCGGCTGTTCCAAGGAACAAAGAAAGACAGCTTTAGCCCACAAGGCCATATTTTGTGAAACATACTCTTCCTTTTTAATAATGAGCCGATACACAGTGCTTCTTCTCAGCACTGAAAAATCTGTAGTTTTCCCCCTGCAATGTTGTACAAGGCATTTAAACTGGTGCCATTTGTAATGCTGTGGTCGGTCTCATTGAACAAGAAGAGCCTACACTTGTTATCTTAACGAAAGGCGGAATGGCTGTAGCGCTCTGGCATGGCTGTGTGAGAGCTGCAATATCCTTCCAACATATTTAACCTTAGGACGATAGCATCAGAAACAGCGATAGCAAATAATCAGGACCCAGAAGCTGTCATCCCAGCAACTATCATGATCTTTTGGGTGTATTCAATGTTTCCTGTTTAGAAGTGGGCAAATATTTGTCAAGAAATATAAATATGAAACTCTAACTAGGGAATTCAGGTGATGCCTAGAAGACAGAACAAGTAGCCAATACATCCCATGGGAATCATAAATATATTGTCCTAAAGAAAAAACATCCCCCATTCAAACGTGACCACCCTGCTACACTTTAGGCACCACGGCATTGACAGAGGTGACTATGGTAACACCTCTGTCTTTCATTCTTACTTTCTTATTTGAATTCAGTCACCATTTTAATTTTTCTTTTGAAATCCCACTCCAACTACATGTTATTTTTTCTCATAATTTACTTGCCTTCTTCCCAGTCTACTCTGGATACAGCAGTCGAAGCTATCTTCTTAAAAGTAAATTTGATTACATTATCCTGTTAGGAATCTCCAATGGCGGCCAGGCGCGGTGGCTCTCACCTGTAATCCCAGCACTTTGGGAGGCTGAGGTGGGTGGATCACAAGGTCAGGAGTTCGAGACCAGCCTGGCCAATATGGTGAAACCTCGTCTCTACTAAAAATATGAAAATTAGCTGGGCGTGGTGGCACGCACCTGTAGTCCCAGCTGCTCGGGAGGCTGAGGCAGGAGAATCACTTGAACCTGGGAGGCAGAGGTTGCAGATAGCCTAGATTGTGCCACTGCACTCCAGCCTAGGTGACACAGTGAGACTTTGTCTCAAAAAAAAAAAAAAAAAATCTCCAATGGCAGAATAAAATAAAAACTCTTCACCATAGCCCAAGACTTGGTATGCCGTGTGCTCGCCTCTCCATTACTGATCTCTCACACTGCATTTCCCTTTGCTCATTCATCCAAGAACACGGGCTTGCTTTCTTCTCCTAGGACACACCAAGATCCTCCTGCTCCTGGGTCTTAATGCAAGTAAACTTCTCCCTATTCTTACCTCAAACTAATTATTTACTGGGTTTCTTCTCACCCCTCAGGTCTCAGCTTAAATGTTACCACCCATGTGAAGTCCTACTTAACAAACTTGCCCACAGCAGATGCCTCTCACTCCCTGTTATTTTAAATGTAAGCTTTGAGAATGTCTCTTCCACGACAGATACAATCATTCAAATTATTTTATACATTTGTTTTTCTACCTCCTGTAAGCTATGACCTTCCTGAAGTCAAAGAGGAGGACTTTCCTCCCCTAGTCCATTTCTCCCCCTTATTTCCAGAGTCTACAACGGTACCTGGCACATATCAAGTGTTTAGCAAACATTTATTGAAGAAATGAATTTTCATGTGGCCTACTGTATTTAAACCTTACTTCATTTTTTTTCCCTTGTTTGGCCCCCTACAGGGTGGAACTTGCCAAGCATCACATCCTATCCTCATGCTCAACGTTTTTGTGGGCTTATGAAACCCCTACCCTTCCCTTTTTGCTACCTTGTGTATTTCGATAGGGAAGAGCAAAGCCAAAGTAATGTCATTGAGCACACGAGAGGGCACCACAGATGGGAGGAGAGATAACATATGATAGAGGGCACCCGCATGCTTCCGTGTCTTCTCAAAAGGCTCCTGGCCACATGAGAGCAGACACAGCTAAGCAGATGGTGGGAGTCATTTGCTTTTGCAATTCACTTGTTTATGTTTTTTGCCTGCCTTCCTGTCAATTTCAGCTCTTGGGTCCTTATAGGCAGGGTCTTGTCCATGGTTATTATTGAGGTGTCACCTAATGAAGGTTTGGCATTTTATAAACATTGACTGTTTCGTGGTAAATTTTATTTGGCAGTACAGGGACCGTCAAGAATCACAGATGATAAACTTGACTTGAATCAATAATGTTTAAATTAGATGACCTTGAATACAACTGGCCACTTTCCTATGTACATTTTCTCAAACAGCTTTTACAGTAATAAATACTCTAGCGATATCAGGTGGACTCACCATCTGAATGTGAAAAACCAGGCCATTTTTTAATAGTTGAATAGACCTAAATCATGGCACAGTTTTTTTTTTTTTTACATGCAAAGTCCATTTATTCAATTAACATTTATTATAGTGGACACTATTTGTTGGTAGTTCAGAGCACAAGGAGAAATAGTCCTTGCGTTTTTGTTTTATCCTATTTAAATTAGAAAGACAGACAAAAAGAAAAAATGCATATACACAACTACTTAGTACTACATAGCACAAATTTACTTATTAAAAGGTAGGTCTGATACCACCCTGGCATAATGAGTGGTTTTATTAAGATTGCAATGTTTATTGGATTAGAGCTTAATCTGATGACATAACTGTGTTGTACCTGGTTTTTAGCCAACAGAAAAGCTTTGAATTTGAAAACCTTAGGAGGCCAAGGAATCTGACAAGAAACCATTGGTAAAGCATTTACAACTGTGATGTTGTATTTGAATTGTTTTTTGCTTAGTTTTTCTGTGATAAATCTGGGAGAGTATATTTAAATTGCAATTTTTAATATAATAAAACTAAACATTTTTTAAATAAATAGAAACTGTGTAAGAAAATGTCATGATTTGGCTGGGCACGGTGGTACATGCTTGTAATCCCAGCACTTTGGGAGGCCAAGGCGGGTGGATCACGAGGTCAGGAGATGGAGATCATCCCGGCTAACACAGTGAAACCCCGTCTCTACTAAAAATACAAAAAATTAGCCGGGCGTGGTGGCAGGCGCCTGTAGTCCCAGCTACTTGGGAGGCTGAGGCAGGAGAATGGCGTGAACCTGGGAGGCGGAGCTTGCCGTGAGCCGAGATCTCACCACTGCACTCCAGCCTGGGCGACAGAGCGATACTCTGTCTCAAAAAAAAAAAAAGAAAATGTCTTGATTTGTAAATGAATTTGTAACATGGTGACCATTGCCAGAATGCATATTAGATTACACTGGTCTGTTACGTTCATTATTATAGGAGTAAGGTATATGGATTTGGCAATATATTTTTATCAATATTTGCATATTATGTTAAGTATCCACATTGTGTGAGTCTATGTTTAGAAGCCTATATTTGTCAAGAACTGAGAAGGTTCTGAGATTTTACCCTACTTTCACACTAACAAGGTAACTTGCCACAGTTTCATAGATATTAGTAGAGACATAAGACTTCTGGGTCAAAGACACAAGATTTTATTCCTCACCACATTGCAGGCAGCATAACTTCATGTTTGCATTACTTCTTTTTAACCCCCAAGTCCCACAGGGGTGATAAAGCGATGGGCCCAGGTGGATCCTACCTCACATAGTGGGTCTGTGTCATTCTGAGAAATATTGACCTTAGGAACCCCCGACCTGTTAAAGGTATTGCTAGCAAACCTACCCAGTCTTTGTCCCAGAGGCAGATATTATCTTTCTTATATTGTTCAGGAAAAAAAAAATCTGCCCTTTGTCCGAGAGGGAGAAATTATTATCCAAAGTCAAGCCCAGCACAGTGGCTCACGCCTGTAATCATAGCACTTTGGGAGGCTGAGGCAGGCAGATCACTTGAGGTCAGGAGCTCCAACCAGTCTGGCCAACGTGGTGAAACCCTGTCTCTACTAAAAATACAAAAAAAAAAAAAAAAAAGCCAGGGGTGGTGGCAGGTGCTTGCAATCCCAGCTACTTGGGAGGCTAAAGCAGGAGAATTGCTTGAACCTGGGAGGTGGAGGTTGCCGTGACCTGAGGTCATGCCACTTCACTCCAGCCTGGGCCACAGAGCGAGATTTGGTCTCAAAAAATTAAAAAATAAAAGAAAAATTTATTCTGCTGTATAAACATTCTTGAAAAGATATTCTGGGACAAAAGCTGTCACAAGGCATATACAAATGCCACGAAGAATTGCCTTGCAACAATATCAATCACTACTAAGTTGTGTTAAACAGATCCTCAATTTTGACCTAAAGTATTTAAACAAAGACTAAAAGGCATAAACAGGACAGTTTATATTTACAATTTGAATCAAAATTTTTACATGAAAATATAATAGTATTTAAACTTCAAGTTTGAGAAATCACATTCTGACATTTTTTAAAAGAATGTAAGCTCAGCTTTTGTATACAATAAGTGATCATCTTTCTCACACAGAATAAAACTGTGATCAGAATGTTTATTCTAGAAATTCTGAAATGAATATTTAATTTCTGAGAAAGATAAAAATTGCTTCTTGTAGAAAATGCTAAAATTTTAGAATCTTAAAAATCAAACCTCTTCTAGAAATTCTGTTATGTCAGAGATTTTGTCATGTTTATTAGAGTGATTTAACTCATTCTCCATGAACAGCAGAGTTATTATTAATTTCAGCATATAGATTCTGCCCTGAAGAAGATTCAGAAACAAAAGCCCCCATATTGCAATGGCCTATGGTTTGTTGAAATGTTCTGCTTAACGTAATGATTATAGAGAAAATAGAGATTTCCAACAAACACTAGTAACAGAAAATTACCCATTGTGGTATTTTCAGGTTTAATTCACTCCTCGTACTTCTATCAAATACTTACTCTTACAATGCCACTTCCAGGGAGTTGAGAAGTGAGTCATAGATGATATTAGCCATGCATTCCAGGAATTCACAGTGTGGGAAAAGATGTATAAGAAAACTGATTCAGCCATGATGTACTGTCCATTTCCTAAATTGTGAGAAATCCGTATGAAACCAAAGCATATTTGGTATTAATTAAGAGGAAGAAAAAGAAGATGCCTTCTACACATAACTAGAATTTCTTCACCCTCAGAAACACCAGTTAAATTCCTTAATGGAAAAAATGGCTTGATGCAAATGTATAGTAAACCAAATTTAACTTTTTCAAGCTTTTCTTTGTGACCTTAACCTCTGTTTGCCTCATTTTTTTCATCTTAAGAATGGAGATAATGACATTATCCACCCAAGAGTGTTGTTGCAAAATATTAAGAAAGATAAAAGGAACTTGCAACAGCACCAAGCACAAAATTAGCATTCAGGAAATATTAGATTTCATGATTGTGGTTGTTGATTTAAAAGTTTAGTTTTCAAAAGTGTTGCACCTGATGACATTAGTGCAATTTGACCATTGAAGTTAATTTACGTTATGTATATAGCAAACAAATAACTCTAGTGAAGTAGTTTCAACTTTATTTTTTAAATCAACCTTATTAAAATATAGTTTATATACCACAAATTCACCAATATGTTGAATGAATTTCGATGTAAAGATTATGTAAAAACAATTTGATGGTTTTTATAGTATTCATCAAGTTGTATAACCGTAACTATAATACAATCAATTTTAGAATATTACATCGCCTTTACAAGAAACTCTGTATCTACTGTCAATTACTCCCCATTTTCCCCAGTCCTCCTCCACCCTGCTCTAGGCAACCACTAATCTACTTTCTATCTCTATAGGTTTGCATATTATGGACATTTTATATAAATGAAATAATATAATATGTGGTCTTTTGTGACTGGCTATTTTCACTTAGCTAATATTTTCAAGATTCATCCCCATAATAGCATTGATACTATAATCCTTTTTTTGCCAAATAATATTCTATTGTAGAAATATACCTGATATGGTTTGGCTCCCACTCAAATCTCATCACAAACTATAATTCCCACGCGATGAGGAAGGGACCAGGTGGGGCGGATTCCCCCATACTCTTCTCATGATAGTGAGAGAGTTCTCACGAGATCTGATGGGATAAAACTGGCAGTTTCCCCTGCCTACTCCTTCTCTCCTGTTGCTGGGTAAGATGTACCTTGCTTTTTCGCCTTCTGCCGTGATTCCTGAGGCCTCTCCCAGCCATGTGGAACTGTGAGTCAATTAAACATCTTTCCTTTATAAATTACCCAGACTCAGGTATTCTTTTTTTTTTTTTTTTTTTTTTTTTTTTTTTTTTTTTTTTGAGATGGAGTCTCCCTTTGTTGCCCGGGCTGGAGTGCAGTGGCACAATCTCGGCTCATTGCAACCTGCACCTCCTGCCTCAGCTTCCCGAGTAGCTGGGATTACAGGCATGCACCATGACACCCGGCTAAATTTTGTATTTTTAATGGAGACGGGGTTTCACCATGTTGGCCAGGCTGCTCTCAAACTCCTGACCTCAAGTGATGCACCTGCCTCAGCCTCCCAAAATGCTGGGATTACAGGTGTGAGCCACCACGCCCAGCCTCAGGTGTTCTTTATAGTAGTGTGAAAATGGACTAATACAAAGAATTGGTACCAGCTGAGTTGGGTACTGCTATAAAGATACCTGAAAATGTGGAAGCATCTTTGGAACTGGGTAACAGGCAGAGGTTGAAACAGTTTGCATGGCTCAGAAGAAGATAGGAAGATGGAGGAAAGTTTGAAAATTCCTAGATACTTGTTGAATGGTTTTAACCAAAATGCTGAAAATGATATAGACAGTGAAATCCAGGCTGAGGAGGTCTGAGATGGAGATGAGGAACTTATTGGGAACTGGAGTAAAGGTCATTCTTGCTATGCTTTAGCTGAGAGTTTGGCAGCATTTCCCCCCTGCCCTGGAGATCTGTGGAACTTTAAACTTGAGGAAGATGTTTTAGGGTATCTGGCAGAAGAAATTTCTAAGCAGCAAAGCATTCTAGATGTGACATGGGTTTTTCTGAAAGTGCATAGTTATGAGCATTCACAAAGGGATGATTTGAAATGGGAATTTACGTTTAAAAGGGAAGCTGAGCATAAAAATTTGGAAAATTGGCTGTAATCCCAGCACTTTATTTGGGAGGCCCCAGGCGGGCAGATCACTGGAAGTCAGGAGTTGGAGACCAGCCTGGCTAGCATGGTGAAACCCGTCTCTACTAAAAATACAAACATTTTTAGTTGGGCTTGGTGGTGCCCACCTGTATTCCCAGCTACTCAGGAGGCTGAGGCACAAGAGTCGCTTGAACTCAGGAGGCAGAGGTTGCAGTGAGCTGAGATCATGCCACTGGACTCCAGCCTGGGTGACGGAGTGAGACTCTGTCTCAAAAAGAAATTTGGAAAATTTGCTGCCTGACCATGAAGTAGAAGAGAACAACCCGATTTCTGGGGAGAAATTCAAGCTGGCTGCAGAAATTTGCATAAGTAATGAGAAGCCAAATGTTAATAGCCCTAATGCAATGGGAAAACGTCTACAGGGCATGTCAGTGATCTTTGAGGTAGCCCTCCCATCACAGGTCTAGAGGCCTAGAAGGTGCCTGCTTCACCTTCTTCCATGATTGTAAGTTTCCTGAGGCCTCCCCAGCCATGCTGAACTATAAGTCAATTAAACCTCTTTTCTTTATAAATTACCCAGTCTCGGGTATTTCTTTACAGCAGTGTGAAAATGGACTAATACAACACCATATTCTGTTTATCCATTCATCAGTTTATAGATATTTGGCCTGTTTTCACCTTTTAGCTATGATACATAAGGCTACTATGCACATTTGCGTACAAGTTTTTATGTGGACATATATTTTCTGTCCACTTGGGTATACATTCCTAGGAGTAGAATTACTGGGTCATATTGTTTATTACCGTATATTTAACTTTTTGAAGAACTACCAGACTGTTTTCAAAAGTGTACTTTCTGACCAGCAATCTATGAAGATAACAATTTCCCCACATCTTCACCAACACTTCATTCTGTCTTTTTGATTATAGCCATCCTAGTTGGTTGAACACTTTGTATGAGATTATTGATCATTTTTATGTGTTCTTTTGGATAAATGTCTATTCAAACTATTTGCACATTTTTAAATCGAATTGTTTGTCTTTGTACTATTAAGGTATAAGAGTTCTTTATATATTTTATAATGAAGTCTCTTATCAGACATGATTTAAAAATGTTTTCTCCCATTCTGTAGGTGGTTTTCAATTTTCTTAATCATACACTTTGAAGCACAGATTTTAATTTTAAGACCATGCAATTTACCTCTTTTTTCTTTTGTTACTTTTGTTTTGGTGTCATATTTAAGAAGGCTTTTCCTAGCCCAAGATAATGCAATTTTATTCCTATATATTCTTCTAACAGAGTTTTAGGACTTACATTCAGATCTTTGATCCATTTTGAGTTAACTAGTTGCTTATGGCATGAGGAAAGAGTCTTTTTTTTTTTTTTTTTTTTTTTGAGATGGAGTCTCGCTCTGTTGCCAGGCTGGATAACAGTGGCCAGATCTTGGCTCACTGCAATCTCTACCTCCTGGGTTCAAGTGATTGCCCTGCCTGAGCCTCCTGAGTAGCTGGGATTACAGGCGCATGCCACCACGCCCAGCTAATTTTTGTATTTTTAGTAGAGATGGGGTTTCACCATGTTGGCCAAGATGGTCTCGATCTCTTGACCTCGTGATATGTCTGCCTCAGCCTTCCAAAGTGCTGGGATTACAGGCATGAGCCACCGTGCCCGGCCCTGGAAAGAGTCTATATTAATGAATTTTTGGGTGAGGATATCCAGTTATCTTAAGACCATTTGTTGAAAACCGTATCCCTATTGGATTTTCTTGGTGAAATGCAGTTGTCTGCAAATGTAACGGTTTGTTTCTGAACTCTCAATTCTATTCCATTGATGTGTATGTCTGTCCTTATTCTGTCATCACTTTGTCCTGATCTCTGTAGCTTTGTAATAACTTTTAAAGTTGGGAAGAGTGAGTCCTCCAATTTTCTTATTTTTCAATATAGTTTTGGCTCTTGTGGATTCCTTACATGTCCATAAGAATGTTAAGATCATCCTCACAATTTCTGGAAAAGATGCCAGCTGGGATTTTGACACATGGTTTGTGTTGAATCTGTAGATCAATTTGGGGAATATAACCATGTTAATAATACTATATTTTCCCATCCACAAACGTGATTTCTTTGAATTTATTTATATCTCTTTTTAATTTCTTCCCATAATCTTTTGTACTTTTTGTTTTTTGTTTCATTTAGTTGTAGTTATTTTATTATTTTTGATGCTATTATAAATTGAATTATTGTGTTAGTCATGGTGAAAATTTTCACTGTTAGTGTATAAAAATAGATTTTTATATTTTCATTCTCTATACTGTCAAACTTATTTATTAGTTCTAATAATTTTTTACTAGAATTTTCTGTATTCAAGATCATAGCATTTGTAAACATAGTTTTAATTCTTCAATTCCAGTCTGGATATCATTTATTTCTCTCTTTTTGCCTAATTGCCCTGTCTAGAACTAACAGTGCATAGAAGTGGTACAACTGAATGTCCTTGTCTTATTCTTAACCTTAGGGCAAAGCATTAAGTCTTTCACTATTAAGTAGGATGTTAGCTAAGGGTTTTTAAATAAATGCTTTTTATCAGGTTGAGGAATTTCTCTTCTATTTCTAGTTGTTGTTTTTATCGTGAAAGTGTGTTGGATTTCGCCAAAAGGCTTTTTCTGCACCTATTGAGACTATCATGTAGGTTTTGTGAGTTACTCTATTGATATGACATATGACAATAAATGATTTTTAAAAGTCAGACCACACTTGACTTTGTGGAATCAATTCTACTTGGTCATCTTGTATAATTATTTTTATATGTTAGATTTTGTTTGGCAGTGTTAGGTAGTGGAGGAATTTCGAAACTATATTCATAAGCAATATTAATCTGTATTTTATTTTTCTTGTGATTGTCTTTTTCAGGTTTTGACATGAAAATTAACACTGGCTTCATAGAATAAGCTAGGGAGTGTTGCTTTTCTATTTTTTGAAGTGTTCATGAGAATTGGTATTAATTTTTCTTAAATGTTTGGTACAACTTACCAGCGAAGCTGTCTGGATTTTGGCCCTTTTATTTTGTGTGGGAATTTTTTAGTTACTAATTTGATCTCTTGTTTTCGTAGATTTATTCAGATTTTCTATTCCCGTTTCAGTTCAGTTTCAGTAGTTTTTCTAGGAAAGTGTCAGTTTTTCTAAGTTATCTAATTAGTTGGTATAGAGCTATTCCCTTATGATCCTTTTTATTTCTGGAAGCGCAGTAGTGATGACCACCCCCATGCCCCTATTTCATTCTTGATTTTATTAATTTGAATCTTTTCTCCCTACTATTTTTCTTCTCGTTGTTCAATGTAGTTAAAAGTTTTTTCAATTGTATTGACCTTTTCAAAGAACCTACTTTCAGTTTTGTTGATTTTTGTTTGTTTTTCTATTTCCTAGTTCATTAATCTCACTCTAATTTTTATTATTTCCTTTGTCTATTTGCTTTAGATTTAGAATGTTCTTCTTTTTCCAGTGTCATAAAGGTAGAAAGTAGATTGTATCCTTGAGTTTGTTCTATTTTTTAAAATATGGATGTTTATGCCCATACATTCCTCTGTGAACACTGCTTTACCTGCATCCCATGAGCTTCCATATGTTGTGTCTTCATTTGCATTCATATTAAAGTATTTTCTAATTTCCTTTGTTATTTCTTCTTTCACCCATTGCTTATGTTGGGGTATGTTACTTACTTTCAACATATATGTAACTTTACTCCTGTTATTGACTTCAAATTTTGTTCCATGTGGTTGAAAACATATTTTGCATAATTTCCATCATTTTAAATATGTGGAGGACTTGTTTTATAATGTAGCAGATGGTCTATCTCAGAGTTTTCCACGTGGACTTGAGAGAATCTATACTCTGTTGTAGTTGCATAGAATGTTCCATAGGTGTCTTTTAGGTCTAATTGGTTTATAGTGTTCCTCAAGTCTTATCTTGTTGATTTTCTGCCAAGCAGTTCTCACCACAATTGAAATTGAAGTATTAAAATACCCAACTATCATCACTGAATTCCGTATTTTGGGAATTCCCTTTAATTCTTTCACTTTTTGCTTTATGTAATCTGGGGCTCTGTTTGCATCTGTATTTAGGCGAGTGTAAGCTTATAATTATATCATGCAATAAATTGAAACATTTATCATTATAGAATTCCTTAAGCTCTTGTAACATTTTAAATTTTAAAGTTTATTTTGACTGATAATACACTAGCCACTGCAGCATTCATGTTATAGTGATTTGCTTAATATACATTTTTTCCTTATTTTCCTTTCAACCGATTTTTTTCAACCTATTTTTATCTGTGATATAAAGTATTTTTCTTGAAGACAGGACAGCATCTACTTAGCTACATCTTAACTTATGAGAATGCAGTTTAGATTTATACTAAGCTACTTCTAGTGAGATATAGAAATGTTACTCCTGTATCTCTATTTCTTCTTCATTTTTTGCTAATATTATATACATATTGCATCTATATATGTTACCACAGCAATAATACATTGTTATAACTCTGTATGTCTCATAAATTCTGAGAGAAGAAAAGAGATTAATTATATATTTACACAATTTGTTACGTTCACTTCGTCATTTACAGTATACTTTCTGCAATTTATTTTGGTGGATTAAAGTTCTCATCTGGTGTCACTTCCTTGCTTCAATACAGGTTTGCTCCCTCTTGCCTTCTGCTGCTACTGTCAAAAGTATCACCTATCTATATGTTAAAATCTAACAGTACAATTATACACATAATTTTTATATAATTGCTTTATAAATCAGTTGAGAAAATCAGAGAACAAACATGAACTTAAACTATCATTCTGTAAGTACATAATTACTTTTACAAGCATGCTTCATTCCTTCACGTGGATTGGAATTACTGCCTGGGTTCACTTGCTTTCAGTCTAAAGAAATTATTTTAGTATATTTTGTAAGTCAGGCCTGCTATCAACAAATTCTCCCACTTCTTGTTCATCTGAGAGGGTCTTTATTATTTCCCTTTCATTTCTGAAAGATAGTTGTGCCGTACATGTAACATTATTGTTTGATGGTGTTTCTCTTTCAGCACCATGAATGTCATCCAACTACCTTTGGACTTCATTGTCTCTGAGAAGTCCACTGTTAATCTTATTAAAATGTTCTCGAACATGAATCATTTTTCTCTTGCAGATTTAATATTTTCTCTTTGTCTTTGGCTTACAATCTTTTTAGTATGATGTGTCTGTGTATAGATCTTTTTGAACTTATCCTATTTCAAAATTTTGGGGCTTCATGGATATGTGGATAATTTTTTTTAAATCAAATTTGTCAAGTTTTTTTTAAATATATATACTTTAAGTTCTGGGATACATGTGCAGAGCATGCAGGTTTGTTACATAGATATACATGTGCCATGGTGGTTTGCTGCACCCATCAACCCATCAGCTACATTAGCTATTTGTCCTAATGCTCTCCCTCCTCTCATCCCCACCCCCTCTGACAGGCCCCAGTGTGTGATGTTTCCCTCCCTGTGTCATGTGTTCTCACTGTTCAACTCCCACTTATGAGTGAGAACATGAGGTGTTTGGTTTTCTGTTCCTGTGTTAGTTTGCTGAGAATGATAGTTTCCAGCTACATCCATGTCCCTGCAAAGGACATGAACTCATCCTTTTTTATGGCTGCGTAGTATTCCATGGTGTATATGTGCCACATTTTCTTTATCCAGTCTATCATTGATGGGCATTTCGGTTGGTTCCAAGCCTTCACTATTGTGGATAGTACTGCAATAAACATACATGTGCATGTGTCTTTATAATAGAATGATTTATAATCCTTTGGGTACATACCCAGTAATGGGATTGCTGGATCAAATTGTATTTCTGGTTCTAGATCCTTGAGGAATCACCACACTGTCTTCCACAATGGTTGAACTAATTTACACTCCCACCAACAGTGTAAAAGTGTTCCTATTTCTTCACATCCTCTCCAGCATCTGTTGTTTCTTGACTTTTTAATGATCACCATTCTAACTGCCATGAGATGATGTCTCATTGTGGTTTTGATTTGCATTTCTCTAATGACCAGTGATGATGAGCCTTTTTTCATCTGTTTGTTGGCCATATAAATGTCTTCTTTTGAGAAGTGTCTGTTCATAACTTTCTCCCACTTTTTGATGGGGTTGTTTTTTTCTTGTAAATTTAAGTTCCTTGTAGATTTTGGATATTAGCCCTTTGTCAGATGGATGATTGCAAAAATTTTCTCCCTTAATGTAGGTGGCCTGTTCACTCTGATAATAGTTTCTTTTAATTTGCGGAAGCTCTTTAGTTTGATTAGATCCCATTTGTCTATTTTGGCTTTTGTTGCCATTATTTTTGGTGTTTGAGTCATGAAGTCTTTGCCCATGCCTATGTCCTGAATGGTATTGCCTAAGTTTTCTTCTAGGGTTTTTATGGTTTTAGGTCTTATGTTTAAGTCTTTAATCTATTTTGAGTTAATTTTTATATATGGTGTAAGGAAGGGTTCCAGTTTCAGTTTTCTGCATATGGTTACCCAGTTTTCCCAACACCGTTTATTAAATAGGGAATCCTTCCCCTATTGCTTGGTTTTGTCAGGTTTGTCAAAGATCAGATGGCTGTAGATGTGTGGTGTTATTTCTGAGGCCTCTGTTCTATTGCATTGGTCTATATACCTGTTTTGGTGCCAGCACCATACTGTTTTGGTAACTGTAACCTTGTAGTATAGTTTGAAGTCAGGTAGCTTTGATGCCTCCAGCTTTGTTCTTTTTGCTTAGGATTGTCTTGGCAATGCAGGCTCTATTTTGGTTCCATATGAAATTTAAAGTAGTTTTTTCTAATTCTGTGAAGAAAGTCAATGGTAGCTTGATGGGGATAACATTGAATATATAAATTACTTTGGGCAGTATGGCCATTTTCACGATACTGATTCTTCCTATCCATAAGCACGGAATGATTTTCCATTTGTTTGTGTCCTCTCTTATTTCCTTGAGCAGTGGTTTGTAATTTTCCTTGAAGCGGTCCTTCACATCCCTTGTAAGTTGTACTCCTAAGCATTTTATTCGCTTTGTAGCATTTGTGAATGGGAGTTCACTCATGATGTGGCTCTCTGTTTGTTTATTATTGGTGTATAGGAATGCTTGTGATTTTTACACATTGATTTTATGTCCTGAGACTTTGCTTATCAGCTTAAGGAGATTTTGGACTGAGACAGTGGGGTTTTCTAAATACACAATTATGTTATCTGCAAACAGAGAGAATTTGACTTCCTCTCTTCCTATTTGAATTCCCTTTATTTCTTTATCTTGCCTGATTGCCCTGGCCAGAACTTCCAATACTATATTGAATAGGAGTGGTGAGAGAGGGCATGCTTGTCTTGTGCTGGTTTTCAAAGGGCACGTTTCCAGCCTTTGCCCATTCAGTATGATATTGGCTGTAGGTTTTTCATAAATAGCTCTTATTATTTTGAGATGTGTTCCATCAATACCTACTTTATTGAGAGTTTTTGGCATGAAGGATTGTTGAATTTTATTGAAGGCCTTTTCTGCATCTATTGAGATAATCATGTGGTTTTTGTCATTTATTCTGTTTATGTGATGGATTACATTTATTGATTTGCATATGTCGAACCCATCTTGCATGCCAGGAATGAAGCCATCTTGAATGTGGTGGATCAGCTTTTTGAGGTGCTTCTGGATTTGGTTTGCCAGTATTTTATTGAAGATTTTCACATCGATATTCATCAGGGATATTGGCCTGAAATTCCCCCCCTTTTTTTTAATATCTCTGGCAGGTTTTGGTATCAGGATGATGTTGGTCTCATAAAATGAGTTAGGGAGGAGTCCCTCTTTTTCTATTGTTTGGAATAATTTCAGAAAGCATGGTACCAGCTCCTCTTTGTACCTCTGGTAGAATTCAGCTGTGAATCCATCTGGTCCTGGGCTTTTTTTGGTTGGTAGGCTATTAATTACTGCCTCAATTTCAGAACTTGTTATTGGTCTATTCAGGGATTTGACTTCTTCCTGGTTTAGCCTTGGGAGAGTGTATGAGTCCAGGAATTGATCCATTTCTTCTAGATTTTCTAGTTTATTTGCATAGAGGTGTTTATAGTATTCTTTGATGGTAGTTTGCATTTCTGTGGGATCACTGGTGATATCCCCTTTATCAGTTTTTATGGTTTCTATTCGATTTTTTTTTCTTCTTTGTTAGTCTGGCTAGCAGTCTAACTGTTTTGTTAATCTTTTCAAAAATCCCGCTCCTGGATTCATTGATTTTTTTTTTTTAAGGGTTTTTCATGTCTCTATCTCCTTCAGTTCTGCTCTGATCTTAGTTATTTCTTGTCTTCTGATAGCTTTTGAATTTGTTTGCTCTTGCTTCTCTAGTTATTTTTATTGTGATGTTAGGGTGTCAATTTTAGATCTTTCCTGCTTTCTCCTGTGGGCATTTAGTGCTATAAATTTCCCTGTAAACACTGCTTTAGCTGTATCCCAGAGATTCTGGTACGTTGTGTCTCTGTTCTCATTGGTTTCAAATAACATCTTTATTTATGCCTTCATTTTGTTATTTTCCCAGTAGACATTCAGGAGCAGGTTGTTCAGTTTCCATGTAGTTTTTTGGTTTAGAGTGAGTTTCTTAATCCTGAGTTGTAATTTGATTGCACTGGGATCTGAGAGACTGTTTGTTATGATTTCCATTCTTTTGCATTTGCTGAGGAGTGTTTTACTTCTAACGATGTGGTCAATTTTAGAATAAGTACGATATGGTGCTGAGAAGAATATATATTCTGTTGATCTGGGGTGGAGAGTTCTGTAGATGTCTATTAGGTCCACTTGGTCCAGAACTGGGTTCAATTCCTGAATATCCTTGTTAATTTTCTGTCTCATTGATCAGTCTACGATTGACAATGGGGTGTTAAAATCTCCCATTATTATTGTGTGGGAGTCTAAGTCTCTGTGTAGGTCTCTAAGAACTTGCTTTATGAATCTGGGTGCTCCTGTATTGGGTACATATATATTTAGGACAGTTAGCTCTTCTTGTTGCATTGATCCCTTCACCATTATGTAATGCCCTTCTTTGTCTCCTTTGATCTATGTTGCTTTAAAGTCTGTTTTATCAGAGACTTGGATTGCAACTCCTGCTTTCTTTTGCTTTCTTTTTGCTTGGTAAATATTCCTCCATCCCTTTATTTTGAGCCTGTGTGTGTCTTTGCATGTGAGATGGGTCTCTTGAAAACAGCACACCAATGGGTCTTGACACTTTATCCAATTTGCCAATCTGTGTCTTTTAATTGGAGCATTTAGCCCATTTACATTTAAGGTTAATATGGGTATATGTGAATCTGATCCTGTCATTATGATGGTAGCTGCTTATTTTGTCTGTTAGTTGATGCAGTTTCTTTATAGTGTTGATGGTCTTTACAATTTGTTATGTTTTTTTCAGTGGCTAGTACTGGTTTTTCCTTTCCAAATTTAGTGCTTCCTTCAGGAGCTCTTGTAAGGTAGGCCTGGCGGTGACAAAATGTCTCAGCATTTGCTTGTCTGTAAAGGATTTTATTTCTTCTTCACTTACGAAGTTTAGTTTGGCTGAATATGAAATTCTGGGTTGAAAATTCTTTGAGTGTTGAATATTGGCCCCCACTGTCTTCTGGCTTGTTGGGTTTCTGCAGAGAGATATGCTGTTAGTCTGATTGGCTTCCTTTTGCGGGTAACCCAACCTTTCTCTCTGGCTGCCGTAAACATTTTCTCTTCATTTCAATCTTGGTGATTCTGATGACTATGTGTCTTGAGGGTCGCTCTTCTTGAGGAGTATCTTTGTGGTGTTCTCTGTATTTCCTGAATTTGAATGCTGGCCTGTCTTGCTAGGTTGGGGAAGTTCTCCTGGATAATATCCTGAAGAGTGTTTTCCAACTCGTTTCCATGCTCCCCGTCACTTTCAGGTACACCAACCAAACATAGGTTTGGTCTTTTCACATGGTCCTATATTTCTTGGTTGCTTTGTTCTCTCCTTTTCATTATTTTTTCTCTAATCTTGTCTTCATGCTTTAGTTCATTAAGTTGATCTTCAGTCTCTGATATTCTTTCTTCTGCTTGATCGATTAGGCTACTGATACTTGTATATGCTTCACAAATTTCTTGTGCTGTGTTTTTCAGCTCCATCAGGTCATTTATGTTCATCTCTAAACTGGTTATTGTGGTTAGCAATTCCGCTAACCTTTTTACAAGGTTCTTAACTTCTTGCATTGGGTTATAACATGCTCCTTTAGCTCAGAGGTGTTTGTTATTACCCACTCTCTGAAGCCTACTTCTGTCAATTCGTCAAACTCATTCTTCATCGAGTTTTGTTCCCTTGCTGGTAAGTGGTTGTGATCCTTTGGAGGAGAAGAATCATTCTGGTTTTTGGAATTTTCAGCCTTTTTGAGCTGGTTTTTCCTCACCTTTGTGGATTTATCTACCTTTGGTCTTTGATGTTGGTGACCTTTGGATGGGGTTTTGGTGTGGATGTCCTTTTTGTTGATGTTGATGCTATTCCTTCCTTTCTGTTTGTTACTTTTCTTTCTAACGGTCAAGCCCCTCTGCTGCAGGTCTGCTGGAGTTTGCTGGAGGTCCACTCCAGACCGTGTTTGCCTGGGTGTTGCCAGCGGAGGCTACAGAACAGCAAAGATTGCTGCCTCTTCCTTCCTCTGGAAGCTTTGTCCCAGAGGGGTAGCTACTGGATGCCAGCCAGAGCTCTCCTGTATGAGGTGTCTGTCCACCCCTGCTGGGAGATGTCTCCAAGTCAGGAGGCTCGGGGATCAGGGACCCACTTGAGGAGGCAGTCTGTCCCTTACAGAGCTTGAGCGCTGTGCTGGGAGATCCACTACTCTCTTCAGAGCCAGCAGGCAGGAACATTTAAGTCTGCTAAAGCAGTGCCCACAGCTGCTCCTTCCCGCAGGAGCTCTGTCCCACGGAGATGGGAGTTTTATCTATGAGCCCCTGACTGGGGCTGCTGCCCTTCTTTCAGAGATGCTCTGCCCACAGAGCAGGAATCTAGAGAGGCAGTCTGGCTACAGCTGCTTTGCAGAGCTGCAGTGGGCTCTGCCCAGTTCAAACTCTCCAGCAGCTTTGTTTACTGGGAGAGGAAAACTGCCTACTCAAGCCTCAGTAATGGCAGACGCCCCTTCCCTCACCAAGCCCAAGCATCCCAGGTTGACTTTAGACTGCTGTCCTCGCAGCCAGAATTTCAAGCCAGTGGATTTTAGCTTGCTGGGCTCCATGGGGGTGGGATCCACTGAGCTAGATCACTTGGCTGCCTGGATTCAGCCCCCTTTCCAGGGGAGTGAACGGTTCTGTCTTGCTGGTGTTCCAGGTGCCACTGGGGTATGACAAAAAAACTCCTGCACCTAGCTTGGTGTCTGCCGAAAGGGCTGCCTAGTTTTGTGCTTGAAACTCAGGGCCTTGGTGGTGTAGGCACCTGAGGGAATCTCCTGGTCTGCAGATTGTGAAGACCATGGAAAAAGCCTAGTACCTGGGCCGGATAGCTCCATCCCTCACGGCACAGTCCCTCATGGCTTCCCTTGGCTAGGGGAGGAAGTTCCCCAACCCCTCGCACTTCCCAGGTGAGGTGGCGCCCCACCCTGATTCAACTTGCCCTCTGTGGGCTGTGCCCACTGTCTAACCAGTCCCAGTGAGATGAGCCAGATACCTCAGTTGGAAATGCAGAAATCACCCACCTTCTGTGTTGATCTCACTGGGGGCTGCAGACCAGAGCTGTTCCTATTCGGCCATCTTGCCAGCCTACCCTGTAAAGTTTTTAGTCATGATTCCTTCAAACTTTGTTTTTTTGCTCCATCTCTATCTCTTCTCCTTACACTTGGTACTCTCATTAAACTTATGCGGCGTTTTAAAAAATCTTGACTGAATTTTACTTATGAGTTCTCAGAATGACTGGTTCAAGAGACAAAAAAGCATGAGGCAAATTTGTAATACTCATAATTAGAAGGTGGCTGATGTGATTTTAAAAATTAAAAACAAATTTTATTTTGTTTTGTTTTTTGAGAGAGAGTCTTACTCTTTCACCCAGGCTGGAGTACGGTGGTGCCATCTCAGCCCACTGCAACTTGTGCCTCCTGGCTTGAAGTGATTCTCCTGCCTCAGCCTCCCTGAGTAGCTGAGACTTCAGGCACCTGCCACCATGCCCAGCTAATTTTTGTATTTTTAGCAGAGACAGGGTTTTACCATGTTGGCCAGGCTGTTCTCGAACTCCTGACCTCAGGTGATCTGCCTGCCTTGGCCTCCCAAAGTGCTGGGATTACAGATGTGAACTGCTGCACCCTGCTTAAAATTAAAAACAAAAATGTTAATAATGGAGCAAGAACAATAGAAAATAACGACCTAGATTATCTACTGTTTACAGAGAATCTCTGTAGAATAAAAATTTCTATTTGGCATCTTTATTATAAGGTTAAACAGCCCCCAAAGTCTGCTTTTAATAACATGAGGAAGTTCAAAGAAAGCCTTGCTTTATTTAAAGATCCATCATGACATATTTAAACAGAGCCACTTAACTCTGTATCTTAGCTTTGGTCTATGCCAGTGGTCCCCAAACTTTGCTGTACATTGGAACCACTTTGGGGATTTAAAAAAAAAATACTGGTGTCTAGGCCAGGCACAGTGGCTCATGCCTGCAATCTCAGCACGTTGGGGAGACCAAGGCAGGCATATCATCTGGGGTCAGGAGTTTGAGACCAGCCTGGCCAACATGGTGAAACCCAGTCTCTACTAAAATACAAAAATTAACCAAGCATGGTGGTGGGTGCCTGTAAATGTCAGCTACTCAGGAGGCTGAGGCAGGGATAATTGCTTGAACCCAGGAGGTGGAGGTTGCAATGAGCCGAGATTGCACCACTGCACTCCAGCCTGGGCAACAGAGCAAGACTACATCTCAAAAAAAAAATAAATAAATACTGGTGTCAGGCTCCCACTCCTAGACCTGTTAACTAATATAGAGTGCAAGTTAGGCATCAGGATTTTTCAAAACTCCCCTGGTGATATTAATGTGCAGCCAGATTTGGGAATAGTGCCTTACAATTCTCCGAGACAATGCTCATTTTTCTTCTTTTTTCTCTTTGTTCTTGAGAATGCATAATTACTGTCTATATATTATCCAGTTCACTGATTCTCTTCTCTGCCAGCTCAAATCTAGCTTTGAGCCTCTGTAGTGATATATTCATTTCAGTTTTTGTACTTTGAAGCTTGAAAAATTCCTTTTAGTTTCTTTTTAGAATTTCTATAACTTTATTGATTTTCTTTGTTTAATAAGGTATTGTCATCATACCTTTCTTTACTTTTCTAATACTGGTTTCCTTTAGTTTTTAGTTTATGTTTCTTTGGTTATAAGTCAAGACTTACCATTAGCAGTTTCTATTGTCTGCTCATCCCAAGGATGAGACTCACTTTCCTGTTTCTGTCCATGTGCAATAGTTTTGTTGAAAACCTTACATTTCAGAAAACAGATTGTCCAAACTCTGGAAATGAATGGCACTTTTAGAATCTTGTTTTTGTTGTTGTTTGCCTGTTTATTTGTTTAGTGGCTTGGGTGGATCATTTTAGTGAATTTTATTTCTGCAAAAGGGGATAGTTTCTGATGTCTTTCCTTAGAGGGCCAAGCCTTGGCATGAATACATCTCTCTAGGATGACAGTGGTTTTAGAGAACAACCTTTGATTGTCTCTTTCCCTGATTTCTCTATTCAGCTGTCAGCTCTTGTTGATATCATACCCAGGTATTAGCCTCCATTACTTGCCTCAGAGCATAAATTGCTCCAGTGTCTGATCCAATGAAATGCAGTCCTCTTGCAGGGGTAGTCCTTGGGTCAGTCTTTGAGGTTTGCTCCAACTCCAGGAGAACCTTCTTAGCTGACTCTTTTTCTGGTTCTCCCTCATAAATTTCTAGTTCATTTATAACCTAGCTTGTTGCCGCCATGAAGCTATTAGTCTCCTCTTAATTGCTTACCACCAATCTCTCCATTTTTCTTAAGGGTATCCTTCGGTTTGAACTTCCCAGATATTGTTTCAAATAAAATCACTTGTCTTGAGGAGACTGTCAAAGCTGTTATTGTGGCTTCCTTGTCCCCCTAGGCAAAACTTCTGCACCACTGTACTGTAGTGATGGAAAGGAAAAGTGATCTTTTTCTCCAAGAATGATACCCCAGCTTTAGGAGTAGGGCACTGAGTGAACTGGTAGCCACTGGTCTTCTGAGCTTGCTTCTCCTGACATAGAATCTTCAATCTGCAGGTGAGCTGTGATAGGGGTGATATGTGTCTCAGTATTCTCAATCAGCCACTCTTGGAGTAGAGTTTATGCCATAAAAATGGGCACTGAGTAATAGAGAGAGCCCCAGACTTCTCAGCATTGTTGCGTGAAGAAAGGAGGTTCTGCAGAGACACAGCAGGGAAGGATGAAAAATGCTGGTGACCTGGTTCTCCCTCAGGGCACTGATAGTCCTAGACTGGGAGACAAGGGGAAAGGATACCCTGTGTTTTTGGCTGCACTTACCTTGGGTAAGGCTTCCATTAGGCTGAGCTGGGGTCAGGGTGGGATAATTGACTCAAATTCCACAGACACTTGCTGTTCTTAACAAGATTTAGTAGATTTTCTTAAATAAATATTTTATGAGTTGCCCTATAATCAATTAATTTTCACAGGCTTTATATGGTGGCGTTTGTTTTTTCTAATAGTTTTCACTAGTTAGGCTTATTTTGCTGGAAAGAGAGTACATAAAACTGCTTGCTCTGCCATTCTTAAAGTCATGTTATACTTTGTACAACATAATCTTAGTGCTATACTACATTCTGGAAGAAATAAACTAGCTATTATCTAATCTGCCTTATTATAGTAGGGTATAATGTTTCTGTAATGCCTTGTACAAATAAGAGCAGTGATATATTCTTACTGGTTTTTGATGTTTCAGTGTTTCAGGTAAAATGACAAGCATTTCATTATTTCTTTTTTCAGGGTTTTTGTTTGTTTTTTTAGAAACAGGGTCTTGCTCTGTTGCTTGTGCTGTAGTGCATTGGCACAATCATAGCTCATGACAACCTCAAATTCCTGGGCTGAAGCAATCCTCCCACTTCAGCCTCCCTAGTAACTGGGAATACAGGCAAGTGCCACCATGCCCAGCTACTTTTTAAAGTTTTTTTGTAGAGACAGGGTTGTGCTGTGTTACCCAGGCTAGTCTCAAACTCCCAGCCTCAAGAGATTCTCTCACCTCTCTCCCAAAGTTCTAGGATTCCAGGCATGAGCCACAATGCCCAGTACAGCAATCATTTCAGTCTGCCCTAGAAGAACCATGGAACGATTATAGAAACAATAGCATGACTTGGCTTGCCTTTCTATGAAAGACGCTTGACTTTTCTTATAAACATTTTCTTAATACTACTCCTTAATACTACTACTACTCGTTCAAATGTGGAGTCTCTTTCTGTCCCATCACACAATTTCATGTTTACTTCAGTTCAGTAGTAAAGGGGATGAGAAAGTTTTTTTTTTTTTTCCAATTCAAAAAGCCCAAGTTATTAGAAGGCTTAGCCCACAGGCATTCAATTTTTGGAGGCTGGCCTGACATAAAATTTTGTTTTCATTTTTATCTGAATGAGTTTCTTGCCCTGTATTTTCACTTGAATTAGAGAAAAATTATATTTTTATGACTGGCATTGACTTTTGGTTAATTACAAGATTTCACCAAAGCCAGATTTTTGTATTAACATAATTTTTGCAAAGCCTTAACCAAAAGATAAAAAAAAAATATATATATATATATATATATATATATAGCCAAAAATGTTTACAGCCTTACTTATTGACCCAATGTGATTTTACTGTCCACCTCACCCGGGACCTGCACCACCTTCCAAGAAAACATTTGGCTATGTTAGAGTCATATTTTTCTGTCACAATGGAAAGGTGGTACTAATGACATCTTGTGAACAGAGGCAAAGAATGCCATTAGACATTCTACAATACACAGGAAAGTCCTCCGATAGCAAAAATAAAAAATTATGCAGCCTAATATGTTAATAATGCCACATTTAAGAAACCTTGATTTAGAGAAAATCAGCATTTTTCATACTACACAGCCATTAGCTTTGTTCTCCAGTGCTAAAGAGTGCTAACCAATTTTCAATTCCTATACTTTCGACATATCTTAAAAATACGCACATTCTAGTTTCATTAATTTGTTGAGATAGTTTTGTAACGGTCCCTAGGATACTTTCCCTTACCTTTCTCCAGGAGATAACAAATTAACAACCTCATTGCGATCTAACAAATCACCCCTGTGACTTACCCTAGAGAAATAATAGTTGTCATGTATACATGTTCAGAAATACACAGCAGGAAAGTGCAAATGTAAAACACTTCTAAACAAAAGCAATAATACTGTCAAAAACCAGACTCCTGGGTTTCATACCTGATTTCCCCATTCTTTCTTATATCCAATCTACCAGTAAACGAATGTTTCACTTTTCTTCTATTGTAGCCAGGCTCTAAAGTGGCCCCCAGTGAATTTTGCCTCTTGGTATTCACACCACTGTATATATTCTCTACTGACATTAAGTAGGGCAGTAACCCAGAGGATATTGCAGAAATGATGGCTTGTGACTTCCATGGCTGGGTTCCCTTTGTGCCCTTGGATTACTTGCTCTGGAGAAAGCCAACTTACTCTAATGGAAACACTCAAATAACCTTATAGAGGGGTCTACATGGTGAGGAACTGAAGTCTCCTGCCAACAGTCAGCATGATATATGTATGAGCTGCTGTGGAAACACATCCTCCAGGCCTATTAAAGCCTTCAGATTGGCTGCATTTCTGGTCAACATAACGACTGCAGCCTCTTGAGAGACCCTAAACCAGACCACTCAGCTAAGTTGCTTCCAGATTCCTGGCCAACAGAACCATGTGACCTATGAAATGTTTGTTGATTTAAGCTGCTAAGTGTTAGAGTAATTTGTTATGCAACAATACATAACTAATACCACTCCTTTAACATTTCTGGAAGGTATACATTTTTTTCCATCCTCACTGGCAATGAGGTTCAGACCAAAATTACATGCAGTTAAAAACCTGTGAAAGTAATGATGCTAGTCAAACTGCCTGCCCCTTGGCCCTCAGAAAAGAAGGCTGCAAATCTGCCAGGTGAAAGTATCCCCATGAAGTAAATTTCTTTCATCAAACTTACCTCGGTTCCAGAGTGTTACGTCTCTTAGCTGTACAGTTCTTTTATCTTATAAACACACATACACACACACCCCTCCATAGTCATCATTTTCTCCATAGTAAGAAAACATCCCATTGGATAAGGCCCAGGTACATTCAGGTGTCTCCACACTGTGCCAAGAGTCACCATGGTCCATGAGTCTTTGGTGATGAAGTGAAAGAAATATCCAGATTCTGTATTCTGTTATATTACATTCCCCTTTACATATCCCCCCCACCTTTTTTTTTTTTAACTTGCAAACCTTTCAGCATGCTTTAGACCTTCCTTCTTTCCTTCTCATCTTACATTTTCTTTCACTCTTGTCTATTTTTATTGACCAAATTACAGAGGGTACTTTCTGCCTGAACATAGTTATGAGAAAAGGTGACCACTTCTACGCCCAGCAACATCTTTTTCCCCCCATGACAGGGCAGGGGGTTCAGTTAAAATTTCTGGATAAATTCTAGATTTACCTACCATAAATAAATTCTAGATTTATCTACAATAAATAAATTCTAAAATGTATGTATTATTATGCTAGATAAATTCTAAAAGAGTTGTGACACTCCTAACATCTTAGCCCTAAATGCAACTTGTGAATTAAAATTGGTATTATTTGATTCCTATACCATCACTTGCCTACTCAAAAATGCCCTTGATTGGCATGTGTATCACTAAATTATAATCATATGTTTGGTATTGTGTCTTTTTCACTGCACTTTAAATTCCTTGAGGACAGGAAGTGTATTGTGTTAACCATTATATCCATGTTGCCTAACTCAAATTGTTGGTCAACCTTAGATGATCAGTACTTGTTATATTGCATGAATGAATGAAGGAATGGATTCATTAATTAATCACATAGCCAAGAACAGTATGGCAGGCCTTGTTAAAATCTTTTTTAAGATACTTTTTCTCCCTTTTTTCTCAAAGATCTGAGTCTAATGTAATGAATGAAAAAGAATCATGCAATTTTCATTTAAATTTCAAGTTTTTGCTCCCTGTCCTGTCTATAGATATTTACATACAGCAGAGTTATCTAATGATTGTCACTGGGCTTCCACCAGAATCGTATTATAGCTTAAATTGCCTGAAGAAAGTGAAGTGAGGGCCAGGTGCCATGGCTCACGCCTGTAATCCCAACACTTTGGGAGGCCGAGGCAGGTGGATCACGTGAGGTCGGGAATTGGAGACCAGCCTGACCAAAATGGACAAACTCCGTCTCTACTACAAATACAAAATTAGCCTGGAGTGGTGGTGCATGCCTGTAATCCCAGCTACTTGGGAGGCTGAGGCAGGAGAATCACTTGAACCTGGGAGGTGGAGGTTGTGGTGAGCCAAGATTGCACCATTGCACTCCAGCCTGGGCAACAAGAGCAAGACTGTCTCAGAAAAGAAAGTGAAGTGAGAACAGATTTTTTTTTTTTTTAAAAACAGGGTCTTGCTCTGTCTCTCTTGCCCAGGATGGAGTGCAGAGGCATTATCAAGGCCCAACGCAGCTTTGAACTCCTGGGCTCAGGAGATCCTCCCACCTCAGCCTCCCAAGTAGCTGGGACTATGGGCATGCACAACCATGTTTGGCAATTTTTTTTTTTTTTTTCAATTTTGTAGAGATGAGTCATTGCTATGTTGCCCAGGCTGGTCTCAAACTCCTGGCCTCCAGAAATTCTCCCACCTCAACCTCCCAAGTAGCTGGGTTACAGGTGTAAGCCATTATGCCCTGTTTAGGACACAATTCTTATAGAACTAACTCCATAAGCAGAATGTCTAGAAATGTAAAATCATTCTAGCCTGAAGCCATAATGTTTTAACTTTTCATAAAATAAGTAGTTTTCCCTAGGATCAAGTCTCTTTTTAAAGAATAAAGAGGACATACATATTAAAGCACCTCCAACTCAAAATAATGCCCTACGAGGTGCTTTGTTTATGACTATTCTATGGGGGTAACTTCAGTTCTACAGCATTTCTGTTTGGGCCTCCACTTCATGCTCCAGGCAGCGGGTAGGCATTATATTCTGTTCAGGGTTTTATTTGTTGACTAGAAGCTCTCAAAACAGAATGGCTATAATTTTTTCTTTTTTTAATTCTGACTACTAACTTCTAGAATTGACTTATCTGTGAGTTCCTCTATGCTAATGATTATGTTCTTCCTGTATGCCAAGCCAACAGAGTACCATGGTTACCGTTAAAACTATTGAATTACCAATTAACCTTCTCCTTGCAATCTAATAAAGAGTTAATGAACTAATTGTTCATCTCTCCTCTATACAAAATTGAGTCTTTCTGTTGTCCTCAGTATTGAGGCCCACTTAGAAATTTTGAATATTATTCATATTATCACAATACCCATAATTCATTTCAGGTGAAGAGAACCAGGGTTGATTTTGCAGTGAATATATCTTATTTTGGTGTGGGAAAAAAAATGGAAAGTCTGTGTTATCACTTAGAAAAAACCTGCTTATGCAGCCCAGTGCTTTATAATATTGGGTCCATTTTTTGAATAAATGGATAAATCAGTAAACATTAAAATAATTGGCTTTTCTCTTTGGATGTTTTACTACTTGGCCTCATAGTTACTTGATATGATTATTATGCTTTTAAAAATAGTTGGATTGTCAGAAAAACATGAATTAACTTTCAGAAGTTAGATGTCTAAATTATCCTAGGTATTAGATAATAAAGAAAAAAGCATCAACCTGGGTCTTGGCTCTTTTCTTCTACATAACTGATTTTGAAGGAAGGCTTTGTTGTTAAACCATCTGAGCCTGTGTCTGGCATTACCAGCACAGTGGTGGGAAGCTAGACATATCACTGCCTTCCCTTATAATTTAAATAATGTGTAAGTAAGTGGCATGAAACCTACATCATGCTGGACATTAACTTGGTAACTAGTATTATTATTTTTATCACTAACTTTAAAATTTAAATAATGTTCCTTAAAAATAGATTAATGGGGCTGGGCATGGTGGCTCATGCCTGTAATCCCAGCACTTTGGGAAGCTAAGGCGGGCAAATTACCTGAGGTCAGGAGTTCAAGACCAGCCTGGCCAACATGATGAAACCCTATCTCTACTAAAAATACAAAAAAAAAAAAAAATTAGCCAAGTGTGGTGGTGCATACCTGTAGTCCCAGCTACTCAAGAGGCAGAGGCAGAAGGATCGCTTGAACCTGGGAGATGGAGGTTGCAGTGAGCTGAGATCATGCCACTGCACTCCAGCCTGGGTGACAGAGCAAGACTCTGTCTCAAAAAAAAAAATTAATTAATGAAAGATTATTAGGCTTTTATAATCTCTATAGTTCTTTAATAGAGGACAGAATATTTCAAAATGTTCCTTCTTCTCTAAATAAAGAGCCTACCTCAATTACAATAGATTTATGGATTTGCCAGTGTGTGCAGTTTGCATAGTACACCTTGGCTCTGCTGATTGGCTCCATTCTGGGTTAGTGTCTTTTCTTCTGACCAAGGGAATTAGTGAAATGGATTTGATGCCTGCCGAGTGGTCGTTCATTCTGTGTCCATCGATACTGTGTGAGGAACTTTGTATATGTTTTCCATAAAGAGTGCTTTCAGCTGGTAATTTAGCCAGTAGTTCTTTTCATTCTAATAGCTTCTGTTTGTAATTTAAATTATCCCCATCCAAACGTTGGTTTCAGATACTATTCCCATCTAAACATCATTGTTTAGTCCAGTCTCCCAATAGAGCAAGGGAGAAACTCAATGTAAATATTTTTCTGTTCACACTCCCTGAGTATGTCTTTCCCCACTGAAATGCTGAGCTTGACCATTAATTTTTTTTTTTTTTTCGTGATGAAATCTAAGAATGTTTTCCAAATCTCAGGTGTAATTTCCAAAGGTTGAGTAAAGACTGATCAGAACAGCACAGTGGATTTAAAGGGCGGTTTACCAAATCCATGAATGAGAAGGCAAGTCTATATTAAGAAGAGCCTTCTAAAAAGACAAACAGGATGCCAACATTTTTAACCAAGGGTTCAATGAACAGTTACCATACTGTATGGAAGATTTGAAGGGCAAGAATATCTAAAAGAGAGTTGTCACATTCCATCTGAGAGCAGGTAGCAAGAATTGATTGATACCTTCACCTGTAAATGGGGGATAATAACGACCATATCATAATATTTCATTAGTAGAAAAATTGTATGACTGCATAATAATATCCCTCCATAATGCTATAATATCTTGATATGTATACACATATAGAGACGTACAACTACATATGCAATTGATGCATGTGTGTGTTTGTATGTTTCCTATCTCCAAGTAAATTGAGATGGGAAGGTAATATGCATACTTTGCTCTTATCCTTAAGGACAGAGGTCCTTGTATATGAATACATTTTGTTCTCTAAATCTAGATCCTTGTCTCTTCTATGCCTCATGTTGAAAAACAGAATGGCCTCCGTCTCAAGATGAATTGCACAGAGGATGATGGGCCTAGGAACCAAGATGTCTCTTCTTATTGTAAGCATCACTTAGTGAGGAAAAGAGCCTTATTAGAAAGGCACTAGAGGGCTTCATTTTTATCCCTTCTTCTCTGAAACGCTTTCCAAGGGGATCCCTTTTAGTCACCAAATTGGGGCACCATACTCATTCTCTAGGAGGAACTCAATCCTCAATTTTTCTATGTTTAATAAGTGTGGACTCACCTATTCCATTCTTAGGTCCTAGAGACTCAGAAGGTATTTTTCAAGGAATAGTTACTGAAAAAACTAAGGAAGGGTAAAAACTAAAAGTTACTATCTGATTAAAAATATATACATCAATGAAATTTAGATTGTTGTCTCTAATTTCACAAAAGTCTCATCACAGATCACTTTGGCACCATTTATGGAGTTTCTAACTTTTAGTTACTTCTCATTTCAATCTTATGTAAAATGGTTTGCTAAAAGAAAGTAATGGCTGTTTTAGCCTGAAGTCAATTTAAGTTGTACCAACTTTCAGAATTGGTGATCTCCACATTGCTTTCAGAAACTAGTTTTAGAAATTATTAATTTTAAGTATGATAATGGGATATATATATAGTTATGCTAACAAAACTATTTTTTATGTCTCAGAGTTACATACTGAGATTATCAATGGTTAAATTATATCATGTCTACCATCATTCAAATTAATCCAAAAAGGGTTTGGAGGAAGAAGCAGTTGGAATGGAATTGGTCATAGGAAAATTGTTTTGGCCCTGGGTCATGAGTATATGTGGATTCATTATAATATTCTGTCTACTTTCACGTATGTTTGCAATTCTCCATAGCTTCCAAGTAAAATGAAAAAGATATTCTAGTTTATGAAATATAAGCCCATTTGAAACAACCTGGCCACCCCACTAAAGAATCTCCTTTGAATAAATGCTTTACAGAAAGACTGAAAGGTAAAGGCCTTGAGAAGGTGGACGAATGTCCATTAGGAACTGACATGACAGTAGCAATCTTAGAAATGATGTCTGGGTAGTGGATGTCAAGATAGCTCCCCTGGCCTGCGTTAGTCCCCACTTCCAACTTCTTGGTGAGGAATCAGATGATTCTGCAGAACAGCATCCTGGATGGGTCCTGAGCACTCTGGGAGCTCTAACTTCCTAGTTCCAGATATTAGCACCATGCCACCCCTCTCCCAGATTTCCCATGGTGATAAATCAGCTCTTCAGTACCCTCACCAAAGGGTTGGCACTCTTTTCAAGATTCCTTTAATCACTTCCTTTAATATACGACACTTTCAGGCCCACAACTATATAACAAATAATGTCTAACACAATTCTTTGTCTTCTAAAGTTAGTCCTTTATCATGTTTCTTAAGAAAAATCTGTTCAGCTTGAATTTATAGTTTCCACTATAGAGAAAATTTTTTTTCAAAGCTTTCCTTGTCTCTACCACCCCAATAACAATTTATCTGTTCAGTTGTGTTTGTCTGGATTGACTCTTCTTTCCCTTATTTTCTATGTGTTTGTTTTCATCTAATCAAGAAAAACCTTGAAAGTAAAGTTTGTCCCCAAGTCCTCCCGTAAGAAAACTCCTATTGGGAGGCCGAGGCAGGCGGATCACAAGGTCAGGAGATCGAGACCATCCTGGCTAACACAGTGAAACCCCATGTCTAGTAAAAATACAAAAAAAAAAAAAATTAGCCGGGCGTGGTGGTGAGTGCCTGTAGTCCCAGCTACTCAGGAGGCTGAGGCAGGAGAATGGTGTGAACCCAGGAGGCAGAGCTTGCAGTGAGCTGAGATTGTGCCACTGCACTCCAGCCTGGGCAACAGAGTGAGACTCCATCTCAAAAAAAAAAAAAAAAATTTCCTAGCTGATCTTTTCAAAGGAGTTGATTGTTCCCAACTAATAAATAATTTTATTCTTTTTGTTTGTTTAGCTCTTTCTGTATGCAGATGTGTATTTTTTTTTTATTTTCCATAAGTTATTGGGGAACAGGTGGTGGTTGGTTACAAGAGTAAGTTCTTTAATGCTGATTTGTGAGACTGTGGTGGCACCTGTCACCTGAGCAGTATACACTGTACTTAATTTGTAGTCTTTTATCCCTCATCCCCTTCCCACCCTTTCTCCTGAGTCCCCAAAGTCCATTGTGTCATTCTTATACCTTTGCATTCTCATAGCTTAGCTCCCACATTTTAGTGAGAACATACAATGTTTGGTTTTCCATTCCTGAGTTATTTCACTTAGAATAATAGTCTCCAACTTCATCCAGATGGCTGTGAATGCCATTAATTCATTCCTTTTATGATTGAGTAGTATTCTATCATATATGTATATATGTATATTATATATACATACATATCTATATATATATATATATATATATCACTGTTTCTTTATCCACTCATTGATTGATGGGCATTTGGGTTGGTTCCACGGTTTTGCAATTGCAAATTGTGCTGCCATAAACACGTGTGCAAGTATTTTTTTCATATAATGGCTTCTTTTCCTCTGGGTAGATACCCAGTAGTGGGATTGCTGGATCAAATGGTAGTTCTACTTGTAATTCTTTAAGGAATCTCCACCCTGCTTTTCGCAGTGGCTGCACTAGTTACATTCCCTCCAGCACTGTAGAAGTGTTCCCTTTTCACCACATCCACACCAACATCTATTATTTTTTGATTTTTTGATTATGGCCATTCTTGAGTGTAAGTAAGGTGGCATCGCATCATGGTTTTTATTTGCATTTTCCTAATGATTAGTGATGTTGAGCATTTTTTCATATGTTTGTTAGCCATCTGTATATCTTTTTTTTGAGAATTGTCCCTATTCATGTCCTTAGTCCAGTTTGTCATGGAATTGTTTCTTTTTTTCTTGCTAATTTAATTTCCTTGTAGATTCTGGATATTAGTCCTTTGTCAGTTGTATAGATTGTGAAGATTTTCTCCCACTCTGTGGATTGTCTCTTTACTCTGCTGACTGTTCCTTTTGCTGTGCAAAAGCTCTTTAGTTTAATTAAGTCCCAGCTATTTATCTTTGTTTTTATTACATTTGCTTTTGGGTACTTGGTCATGAAATCTTTGCTTAAGCCAATGTCTAGAAGGGTTTTTTCGATGTTATCTTCTAGAATTTTTATAGTTTCAGGTCTTAGATTTAAGTCCTTGATCCATCTTGAGTTGATCTTTGTATAAGGATGAAGATCCAGTTGCATTCTCCTACATGTGGCTTGCCAATTATCCCAGCACCATTTGTTGAAAATGTGTCCTTTCCCTACTTTTTGTTCACTTTGTCAAAGATCAATTGACTGTAAGTATTTGGGTTTATTCTGGGTTCTCTATTCTGTTCCACTGGTCTATGTACTATTTTTATAACAGTCCATGATGTTTTGGTGACTATGGCCTTATAGTAGAGTTTAAAAACAGGTAGTATGATGCCTCCAGATTTTTTCTTCTTGCTTAGTTTTGTTTTGGCTATGCGGGCTCTTTTTTGGTTCCATATAAATTTTAGGATTTTTTTTTTAATTCTGTGAAGAATGATGGTGGTATTTTGATGTGGATTGCATTGAATTTGTAGATTGTTTTTGGCAGTATGGTCATGTTCACAATATTGATGCTACCCATCCATGAGTATGGGATGTGTTTCCATTTGTTTGTGTCATCTATGATTTCTTTCAGAAATGTTTTATAGCTTTCCTTGTAGAAGTCCTTCACCTCCTTGGTCAGGTAAGTTCCTAAGTTTTTTTTTTTTTTTTTTTCTTTTCAGCTGCTGTAAAGGGGGTTGAGTTTTTGATTGGATTCTCAACTTGGTCGCTGTTGATTTATAGGAGAGCTACTGATGTGTGTGCATTAATTTTGTATCCAGAAAGTTTGCTGAATTCTTTTATCAGTTCGAGAAGCTTATTGGAAGGAGTCTTTAGGGGTTTCTAGGTATATAATCATATCATCAGCAAACAGTGATGGTTTAACTTTGACTTCCTCTTTACTGATTTGGATGCCCTTTATTTCTTTCTCTTGTCTGATTGCTCTGGCTAGGACTTCTAGTATTATGTTGAAGAGAAGTGGTGAGAGTGGGCATTCTTGTCTTCTTCCAGTTCTCAGAGGGAATGCTTTCAACCTTTCCCCATTCAGTATTATGTGGGCTGTGGGTTTGTCATAGATGGCTGTTACTATATTGAGGTATGTCCCTTGTATGCCGATTTTGCTGAGAGTTTTATTATTTATTTATTTTTGAGACAGAGTCTTGCTCTGTAGCCTAGGCTGGAGTACGGTGACGCAATCTTGGCTCACTGCAATCTCTGCCTCTCAGGTTCACGCAATTCTCCTGCCTCAGCCTCCCAAGTAGCTGGGATTACAGGTGGTGCACACCACCACACCCAGCTGTTGTTTTTGTGTCTTTAGTAGAGATGGGTTTTCATCATGTTGGCTAGGCTGGTCTCAAACTCCTGACCTCGCGTGATCTGCCCACCTCGGCCTCTCAAAGTGTTGGGATTACAGGCATGAGTCACCACGCCCAGCCGAGACTTTTAATCATAAAGCGATGCTGGATTTTATTAATTGCTTTTTCTGAGTCTATTGAGATGATCGTGTGATTTTTGTTTTTAATTCTGTTTATGTGTTGTATCACATTTATTGACTTGAGTATGTGAAGCCATCCCTGCATCCCTGGTATGAAGCCCAGTTGATCATGGTGGCTTATCTTTTTGATAAGTTGTTGGGTTCAGTTAGCCAGTTACTTTGTTAAGGATTTTTTCGTATGTGTCCATCAGGGGTATTGGTCTGTAATTCTTTTTTCTGGTTATATCCTTTCCTGGTGTTGGTATTAGGGTGATACTGGCTTCATAGAATGATTTAGGGGAGGATTCCCTCTTTCTGTATTGTGTGGAATAGTGTCAATAGGATTGGTATGAATTCTTCTTTGACTGCCTGGTAGAATTCAACTGTGAATCTGTGTGTGTATTTTTAAAGTATTTATTATTTGGGAGATTGTTTAAAAATGCCTAAGTTACAAAGAGCTTATTTCCCAGCAGATCTTGAGAGATCTTTGCATAGATAAGGGTGTATACGCAGAACTTTAAAAGTGATACATTTGAGTTGAACCTATTAATTTCTTAAGTTGTCACAGGAAAAATATCTGTCAAATTATTTTTGACATTTTATACAGTTTACTTTTGTAATTAGTACTGCTATATTCACGTTGCAGAATTAGGTCCATTTCTGCGTACTTTATTCTTAGTGAACATGAATGATTACTAGTGGAAACCAGCTAGGAAGAATTATAATTGAATAAAAATTTTTAAAAAGTGAATTAATTATTGGAAACTATAATCAATTAGGGTTATTCTTCTCAAGGTTAGCTCTTTAAAATACATTTTACAGGTAATATAAAATGCCTCACTTAGTTAAAGTATTTTATACTGATGATAATACACCTTATCACAAAGGCAGAGAGAAATCCCTTTCACATGAAATTCCAGTTTTGTTTAATTTTGTTACCTTTACTCTACCATCAATCCAATGGTCAGCCGGCATAACAGAAGGCAAAATAATTGGGTTTGTAGTATGACCACTCACTTCTGGAAATGTGGAGAGCTGCAGTATCGAGCAACATCGGTTTCAGCACTGTCATATCAGTTACGAGTGGACATGTGTCCACTTTCTCAAAACCTTTATCTTACCTTTCAGCCTGACTGTCAAGCATTTGTTCAAAAAAGACTCTTTAGTGGGGTGCCCATGTTGTTTTAAATGGACTTACAGCTCATAAAATAGAATCTCTTTTCTTTCTTTTCTTTTCTTTTTTTGTTTTTGTTTGTTTGCCTGTTTTGAGACCCAGTATCACTCTGTTGCTCAGACAGTAGTGCAGTGGCTTGATCTTGGCTCACTGCAACCTCTGCCTCCCAGGTTCAAGCAATTCTCTTGCCTCAGCCTCCTGAGTAGCTAGGATTACAGGCGCAAGCCACTGCGCCTGGCTAATTTTTGTATTTTTAGTAGAGACAGGGTTTCACCATGTTGACCAGCCTGGTCTCGAACTCCTGGCCTCAGGTGATCCACCTGTCTCGGCCTCCGAAGTGCTGGGATTACAGGCGTGAGCCACCGTCCCCAGCCCTCTTTTCTATTTTAATTTGAAATTATGGACAGTTGCAAACATACATGAAAGTACACAGAGTATTATAATGAATCCACCCACAACCATGACCCATAATGAATCCACCCATAACCATGAGCCAGGGCTGAAACAGTTCCCTATGACCAATTTCACTCCATCTACTTTTTTCATCCACACCCCTTTTTGGATTAAGTTGAGTGATAGCAGACATGCTATAATTTGAGCATTAACTTCAGTGTGTAACTCTAAGTCATAAAAATCCTTTTGGCTAGCATACACATATATACCATTATCATACTTAAAAATTAATTCCTTACTACCATCAAGTATATCCAATGCATACAAAAGAGAACGAGAATCTCTGGTGAAAAAACATTTTTCTTAAATGTCCATAAGTTGGTGTTAATTTTACTTTTATTCCAGTTTCACTCTCTTGTTTCATATCTGATTAAATTCATATGTAATGCTTTCTGCAGTATCATTTTGAAAAATTATTCATTTCTGTATGTCTATCTGTTTAGCTTTCTATTTGTATACATGTATAAAGAGATGCCTGAAATTACATTTGCATAACACTAGTGAAAGCTTTTTCTGGGTAATGGCATTCAAGTTGAGTTTTTTACAGATGTCTGTGTCTACGTGTGTATGCTCACATGCTTTTGGATATCTCCTGGGTTTCTCATAATGCAAAATACATATGTGTATTTTTCTTTCAATAATAAACTTATTTCATCATTATATAATGGGATCATAAGTCAATACTGAGTTCAAGGTATGTGTAATTATAGTATACAATAAAGACTTGTTTCTTGGTCATACTACACATTTGTGGAAGACCAGCACAGAAGTGGGTCTTTGTACACTATAGTCACTTAGGGATCCAAGTGACTAAGCAAGTAACATCTTGAAAATTGTTGGTTACCATTCAAAGAGGAGAGAGAGTACACTTTTGATGATCTCACACAGGTAACTAAATTCTCAGCCAACAAGTCACTTCAGCTCGTAACTCATTAGCCAGTCTTAAGCTTTTGGCCGTACCCGAGAATAAGCAGCCCAGAAAACTGCCTACCACACTAGTTCAATCATTTCTCACATAAATGTGCTACCTACTTTGGAAATATAATTTTTCTATTTATCTTCTCCTTTTTAAATTTTTGTCTACCAAGGTTTCTATGCAATGAACCAGGAATAAGAACATTTTGCTTAAAAGGAGATACCAAAGAAAGACCCTAGCACATCCTGGGACTAAAAGGTGGATGCAGCTGGGCACGGTGGCTCATGCCCATAATCCCAGCACTTTGGGAGGCTGAGGTGGGCAGATCACAAGGTCAAAAGATTGAGACCATCCTGGCCAACATATAGTGAAACCCCGTCTCTACTAACAGTACAAAAATTAGCTGGGTGTGGTGGCGCGTGCCTGTAGTCCCAGCTACTCAGGAAGCTGAAGCAGAGGAATTACTTGAACCCGGGAGGCAGAGGTTGCAGTGAGCCAAGATGGTGCCACTGCACTCCAGCCTGGCAACAGAGTGAGACTCCGTCTCAAAGAAAAAAAAAAAAAAGGTGGATGCAATTGCATATGCAATCCATTCTAACATGCTCAAAGCTATGCCGTGCCAGACACGGGGTGTAAAGATTGGAGGCCGAGGCTGGAGAATAGCTTGAGCCTGGGAGTTCAAGACCTGCCTGGGCAACATGGCAAAACCCAACCTCTACAAAAAATACAAAAATTAGTAAGGCGTGGTGGCATGACCCTGTAGTCCCAGTTACTTGGGGAGCTGAGGCGAGAGGATCAGTTGAGCCTGGGAGGTTGACGCTGCAGTGAGCCGGTCACTGTGTGACAGAGTGAGACCCTGTCTCAAAAATAAAAATAAATAAGACTAGACAAGACACAGATGATTTTCTCAAGGGTTTCATAGGCAAATTGATGCATTATAATATGTAATAAGCACATGTCTCCTAATGTCACATGTTGTCACCTGGAATTATAAGTTAGTAGACCAACACTGTGTGAACCCCAGCCAAAAGAAAGCCACAGAAATTTGTCTTCATTTCATCAGAAAACTTTTTCAGACTTCTCCTTCTCAGATATAGTAAAAAAAAAAAAAAAAAACTGAGATAGCTTTCAGATTTCTTTTTTTTTTTTTAATTATACTTTAAGTTTTAGGGTACATGTGCACATTGTGCAGGTTAGTTACATATGTATACATGTGCCATGCTGGTGCGCTGCACCCACTAACTCGTCATCTAGCATTAGGTATATCTCCTGATGCTATCCCTCCCCCCTCCCCCCACCCCACAACAGTCCCCAGAGTGTGATATTCCCCTTCCTGTGTCCATGTGATCTCATTGTTCAATTCCCACCTATGAGTGAGAATATGCAGTGTTTGGTTTTTTGTTCTTGCGATAGTTTACTGAAAATGATGATTTCCAGTTTCATCCATGTCCCTACAAAGGACATGAACTCATCATTTTTTATGGCTGCGTAGTATTCCATGGTGTATATGTGCCATATTTTCTTAATCCAGTCTATCATTGTTGGACATTTGGGTTGGTTCCAAGTCTTTGCTATTGTGAATAATTAGAAGAATTACAGTTACTTCAATTCTCTAACCTATTTATTTCTAGTCATGTAGCATCCAACTGTCCAATATATTTTTTCCAACATAGTCTTCTCTTATTATATAAGAGATACATGTTTATTATATATATATTTCAAAGTTAAGCACAGATATAAATTATTCAGTGCTGAAAGGCCCAAAGGTAACTACTCTCAGCTTTTGGCATATGTCCATGCAGATCGTTTTTGTGCATATGTGTCATGTTTTATAGATTAGCATTGTCAGTATCAATATGTGCATCTTAGTACATTGAATGTATATTAAATGATGCCACTTTAAAATAGTTCACAATGTCATAAATATTCTTGTTTCACAATATTACACACATCAATTTTAGTGGCTAAATTGTGTATAATTTTACTATAAGTTACTTATTAATTTTTATATTTTTGAGCATTCAAGTTTTTTCAGATATTCCAATATTTGTAAGCAATTTTGAATTGAATATCACATCATAATAAGTACATATTAGACTCAACTTTAGTTATTTCCTTTAAATAAATTAGTAGAAGTAAAATTACTGACTCAAAATGTATGTACATTTTTAGACTTTTGCCATTTCATGTTGACTTACCTTCAAAGCTGTATAGCAGTGTATTCTCCTACTGGAAATATGAGCAATGCTTAGCTTAGAAATTTTGTGTGTTAGTTAAGAAATTGTGTGTGTATGCTACTAAAAGTTCTGAAATTACACTGGCTTGTCTTACAGCAAAATAAATCAATCAATCAAATCAAATACAGGCACTTCATAGACATATGGTAGCTCCTTGATCCTTCTAACTCTTTGGTTTCTTTTTGGAATATGGCCTTTTTCCTTAAATTTGCTTTACAGTCATAATATGGCTACTGTAGCTTCAGCCATTGGATCTACATCTACATCAATGTGTCAGAATGAAAGATGAAGGAAATGGATTCGTAAAGTTGTAAAAACCTGCCATCTGAGTCCTGAGTAAGCACTCTTAAAAGTGCTTCAGGCCGGGCGCGGTGGCTCATGCCTGTGATCCCAGCACTTTAGGAGGCCAAGGTGGGTAGATCACCTGAGGTCAGGAGTTCGAGACCAGACTGGCCAACATGGTGAAACCCTATCTCTACTAAAAATAGAAAAACTAGATAAGCGTGGTGGCTGGCAGCTGTCATCCCAGCTACTCGGGAGGCTGAGGCAGGAGAATCACCTGAACCTGGGAGGCGTAAGTTGCAATGAGCCGAGATCATGCCACTGCATTCCAGCCTGGGTGACAGCAAAGCTCCATCTCAAAAAAATTTAAAAAACAAAAAAGAGCCCATTTCAGGAAGCTCTACACAGTAGCTATTATTTACACATCACTGGCTACCTCTGTCTGGAGAGGAGGGTTGGAAATATAATTTTTAGCCAGATATATTGCTATTTCTAGCAATATAGGCACTCTCCAATATGGGAGCAGCAGGAAATTGGTACTGAGTGGGAAAATAGCAGCTTCTGTCAAAACCTGTGTGTATGTATAGACATTAAAAATATATGTAAGTCGTTATCAATAGATTAAAATTATATATTTTCAGTTTTCACTTTTTGGTCAAGATTTGCTAGTAGATTACAATTATTTTTTAGCAAGTTAAAAAAGGCCAAGAGAAAATTAAACTCAGGTCACAGGAACAGATAAGAATTAAGTATCCAATAGCTTTATGATGATGAATTGTAAGGATGTTGTTATAAATACAAAGGGCATATGTGTAACTAGATTAATCATCAAATGTACTTTTATTTTCTCTACATATAAATAAGAACGATTTACATATTTAGTAATCAAAAAAGAGAGAATTTCTGGAGTATTTTGAAAAATTGCCCAGAAAAGTGAACTGAAAATCATGATAGAAAATGATAAATGATCTTTCAAATTACTAAGTCAGTTGTGGCAGGTTCCCTAATAGTTTAATCTGCTCTCATAGTACCTCTCATTATACCTTTTAATAATAAAATACCCCTGAAGGTAATTATCCCTTCCATTTGGTTTCTTAAAATCCTATCTCTGATAAACCTCTTAAATGCAGTTTTTACAAAATAAGCTATATAATAAGTGTGGTCATGTTTTAAAAATATTGTAAATGTGGGGATTTTCAGCATAGCTGGGCCATCATGAGATTCCCATATTTGACAACATACTTCCTATGGAAGAATCAAGTTAACAAACAGTGGAACAAAGCAAAGTAGTACTTGGATGGAGAGTTCTGAGATAGCATGTCCAGTTCCACCTCTGAATCTAGAGACTTGAGTAAATTCTTGAATCTTTCTGAGTGTTAAGTTCTCTAAAATAAAATGGAAGAAATACCTGATTTATAAATGTGTGGTATGAATTATGGATGGTAATAGATATAAATATACTTTGTATGTAATAAGACTCTATTCAAACATAAAGTATCATATTAGCAAAACACTTGTAAAAGGAGAAGCATTAACCAGAAAAAAGCATTAGCCAGAAAAGTATTTGTTTTCTTAGAGACAAAGGGCAAAACAATATAGTTTTAGCCATTACAGAGTTGATAAGTAAATTTGCAATTGTCTCAAATATTAGTGGTCCTCTGTGAAATGCAGACATATGAAGACATTTTTTACCCTCTCTTTAAAACTCAATTACAGAGACCTATAGACACATTACATGTTTTTGCATAAAACTTGATGTATTTCAAGAATATGTAAGTATTATTTACTAAATTATAGTACAATATTATCTTTTAGGAACACCCTTAAGATATATAAATATACAGTAAATTGAGATATATATCAAATATATAATCAAACATATATTGAGAAATATATAGTAAATCTTAATAATAAAAACTACCTTCATCTGAACTCAGGGTTGTGTGACCCTTCTCCTCAGTAATTTCCCAGATTCTGCCTTGAATTTCCAAATCAGCATATACAGTATATATATAGTATGAATCTTTAATGGGTCATAGTCATGGGATTTATACTATCAGCACACTCTAGCCCTGTGTTAATCCAGCTCCAGTGAAGCAAGCAGAAACTACCCTAGGTGTGTATTTCTACAGAAGAAATTAAGTATGAAGAATTGACTGTGCAGGTGTTAACCAAATCATCACAAAAGGGCCACTGAGGCAACCCAAAGATAGTAATGGCAGGAGATAGCTACTGCCTTCTGAAATGGGGGGACCAAGAAAGTGGCTAGGGTTATCAGAAATGGGGAGATTGGAAGTGGGACTCTGAAAAACTGGTATTCAGACGTGCGAAGGGGCATGGATATCCACTTGGTGCTATTTCTTCAGGACCCTACAGAGCTGAGTCACATCTTTAAGGAATGGATTCTGCCTAGATAGTGCTGGTATATCTGAGGAGACACACTGAGACTGGTTCAGGGAGGTATGGAAGAGCTGGAGGCTGGGCATTCATTGCTGCTGCAAGATCAAGAGTAACTTATGGGGAAGTTTGGGCCCCCCTGCACTTATCAGTGGTGCAGGGTTATAGGATGTACTGTTGCTTGATGATCATCTGTCTTACCCTCTCCTCTTGCTGCCCTAACCCTCCACATAAGGCAAAGTGTTTGCCAGTGTGTTTCCAGTTTGTGATGCAAACTTAGGAGAATACGGGGCATTTAGGCAGGACTTCAGAAGCATGAGCAGAGAGAAGGCAGATAAATCTGAAAAGATAAATTTTATTTACCAAGGAGGGAAAAGAGAGAAGAAAAAAATGTCAGCAGCCTTTGGTTGAGAGAAGAGGGTTTTGAGAATTCAGGGTTTGAAAGACTTTAAAGCAGATGTAGGATAAGAAAGAAGTAGAAATTGGAGGGAAGGGTTTCTGGAAATACTGATAGAAGACTTCAGTGTTCTTTGAGATGCAAATTAAATTTAGGGTTTAACTATCTGGTAGAGTGTACTCCATAAAGAAATTGAGCCACATGAGTTTCAGCATTTATTAAGCTTGTACACAACAGAAGCCAAGTACTTTGCTAGAATTCTGTAGAAAATAGCTGTATAGCTTCCTCCCCATATAATGTTTTCACATCTGTATTAAGCAGACAGAAGACTACCCAAATGAAACCTCTCCATGTTAGGGAAAAGAAGGTAAAATCATGGAGTGGGAAAGATAACGTTAACTAACCAAACATAAAACATTATTAAGGTTCTGTAACAATTGTGTCTATGTGTGTCCTTTAATGAATAAAATGTGAGCACAATTAATAGAATAAATGATACCTAAATGTTAGTAGATATCATGATTATGTTGTTTCCTACTGACATCTCAACAAATATAAAAAATACACTTTTTCCTACTGACATCTCAATAAAAGAAAATACTCAACTCCATCATGTTACTTAGAAATAAGAAACACCTTAAAATCTTATATTAAAATACCACACAGTTAACAAGCAACTTTCAAACTTTTGAAAAGCAAATGAATAGAAAATAGACGTTTGGGGCCAGCTCATGTTACTACTGTAGAATCTTTATCAAACTTCTTTTTGCTTTTGTATTGATTTTTTAAGTGTACCTGTGACTGACAAGGCTTTCATCTCTGCAATCTAGCACACATGTACATTAAAAGCAAAAGTGAGCAGGCAAACAATGGTTATAATTTACTTTCAATCAAAGAGTTTGCCTGGCTTAAACCATTCTTGATTTTTTGGCACACGAAATAAGATCTTCCAAGAGGAAGTTTGCTATGTCTAGACAGCAAATCCTATGACAAATTATAATGAGTTTGGTTAAGTGTTTAGATATAACTTTACATAAAAGGCATCTGATATGGTTTGGATGTTTTGTTCCCTCCAAATCTCATATTAAAATATGACCTGCAATGTTGGAGGTGGTCCTGTGGAGGGAGTTGGGGGGTTGGTTGGGTCATGGGGATGGATCCCTCATGAATGGCTTAATGCTGTCCTCACGGTAATGAGTGACTTCTCACTCTATAAGATCACACAAGACCTGGTGGTTTAAAAGAGTCTGGCACCCTCTCCCCCTCTCTCATGCCCTTTCTCACCATGTTACCTACATGGACTTCTGCCATGATTTTAAGCTTCCTGAGGTTCTCACAAGAAGCAGATGCCAGCATTGTGTTTCTTGTACAGCCTGCAGAATCATGGGCCAAAGAAATCTCTTTTTGTTATAAATTACCTGGTCTCAGGTATTCCTTTATAGCAATGCAGAATGAACTAACACAGCATCTCTCAAGTGCTCTGAGTGGATCTTACTAGGATGTATGACCTTAGGAGTTAATTGACCTTTCCCAAGCTTCAGTTTCTTTACCTACTTAATAAGGAAACCAACGGTGCCTATGTCATGGACTTACTAAAAGAATTAAGTGACACAATGTTTATATATCACTGAAATATAATTGCCAATATTTAGTAGAACTGTTAGTAGCAATTACGTGTGGCACCAAGTACCAAGATAGTTTCCAGGATTCCTGAAGATTTTGGTGTTATTTTGTCCACGATCATTTCTGTTTTTACGAACTGTCTTCCCCACAAAGATTAATTTATGGCATTTATTGCTTTTTAACATTTAAAATGACTTAAACAAATCTGCTTTTACATTCAATGATACTTCTCAAAAAATAGCTCCTCTTCCTCTGAAAACACAAAGGGTAAAAATTACATATATTTTTTTCTAAAATAAGACTTCTTGGTGAAGATATTTTAAACATTGTTATTATCAGAGGGTAATCATGTACTCAAAATAACATTAATAATAGTGATATAAAAGCTGTAGAATATGGAGGTCTTCCATATTCCCACTCTGCAGAAGCTCCTACTTTTACAAGGTCTCCCAACCTCTGTTTCTCTTTATAACAGATCTTCCCTCTTCTGCCTAACCAAGTCACGCATTTTACCTACACTATTTATTTTTGCCTTCTGTCTTCAACCCTTAATGCCTCTAACACCATTTTAATTTTAAAAATTCATGTTCTCCTCTTTTTCTGAATTTTCCCCTTCAGAAAACCCACACACACACAAATATAAGCATGTGCATTCACACAGCGAAACACATACACATGAACACCTGTGAACCTCTTCAGATAACCATCCATGGTGAAAAACAGAAGACAGAACTGGAGTGGATCTTAGCAAATGTCAGCTCCCATCTTCTAATGTAGAAAGTAAAGAAATAGAAACTCCAGGGTATTCAAACAAGCCCCAGGCCCAGCTGGGCTAGGCAGAGGCTCATTCTACTTCCTCAAGCCTGGTCTACAAGTATTTCCAAGGTATTATGTTGAGTAATATGACTGAATGCATATTGATTGAGCACCTTCTATGTCCCTGTCACTTTCTCAGGCACTGGGGATATAGCTGGGAAAAAAAACTGACAAAATGTCCACTTTCACATTACTTAGTGATAAAGAACAGATAAGCAAATAAATCTTTAATAGAATGTCAAGGAAAGACAAATTCTTTAAGGAAAAGACAAAACATGTAAGGTGACGTTCTACTGCTGAGCAAGTGGTGTGTGTTGCCTATTATCAGGAATAGAAATCTGATCATTTCTGTCCACTGCGTCTTGGTATCAGAGTCATCAAAGAAAACAACACGGTGAAGCACTGGATGGAACAATGTTTTTACTCACATGGAGAAGAAACTGAGCGAGATCAGCTTCAGTAATGGGCATCGGTCCCCTAAGCCCAGTGGGTCCCTCCCAGGAGCCGATGCCAGGTACCCCCTTGTACTGCTGCAGCAGGACCTGCCCTCCCAAAAGGGGACAGATATAGTAATGGTATTGGCAAGGTGCCATATAATGTACACACTTAAGCAGAACAAAGGAGTACACATTGAATCTGGAATAGGGAAAGGTATTTCAATACAAGGTTTAATTTAAGCCTAGCACAGACCATGAGAACTCTATCTCTCGATGAGGAAGCGCTCCAGATTAAGACCCATTCATTTTTTTATTTTAATTTTTACTTTTTTAAAAAAATATGAGACAGGGTTTCACTATGTTGCCCAGGCTCACCTCAAACTCCTCCCAGGATCCTTCTGCCTCAGCCTCACAAAGTGCTGGGATCCACTGGTGTGAGCCACTATGCCTGGCCAAGGCCCATTCTTAATGCATCTGAGAAGGGGTCAAAAAATTATGTGAATGAGGCTGCTTTTCCCAATATATACCTCACTCCATCTTGCATGCACAATCATATTAAGCTCTCTGTTCTATAGGCATATCCTACTTGTGCCTTTATGACTACAGATTGTCTTCTCATTAGATCACAGATCTGGCCCAGTCCTGAATTCAAACCCCAACTTTTGCTCTCCAGGCCCATTGGCCTGCTTTGCTTTTCTTATTAATGTATTCCCCAATCCTTGGTGGACTTGTCTCAAAATTGGTGGCCCAAGAAGATTGTCCAAACATTACATGGGTGGTATGGTTTGCATGTGTCTCTGAAAATTCATGTATTGGAAACTTAATCCCCAATGCAACATTGTTGGGAGGTGGGGCCTACATGGAGGTGTTTAGGTCATGAGGGATCTGCCCTTATGAGTGCATTAATGCCACCATAAAAAGGGTTTGCAGGAGCATGTTCTCTATCTTCTACCCTTCTGCCAGGTGAGGACATAGCATTCCTTCCTCCATTCCTCTTGAACACAGGAGGCAGTGTTCAAGGTGCTATGGTAGAAGAAGAGAGATTGGGCCCTAACCTGCTGGCACCTTGATTTTGGACTTCCCAGCCTCTAGAACTGTAAGAAATAAATTTCTATTCATTATAAATTACCCATTCTGTGATAGTAGCAGAAAACATACTGAGACAATAGGCATGCACGGCTTTCTAGCTATTAATTTCCTTAGATGTTCTTCTTTCCAAAACTGCCTTGTTGAGTACCTGTCTGTCACCTATCAGTTTTTTTCCCCAGCTCCCCTTCAACAGTGTTCATTTCTTACTGTACTAGAAAAAAAAAGGTAGACTCATGCAGTTGAAATCTCAGTATATGATGTATTGCCCCAGGTTGAAAAGACTTCTAGGGATAATTTGAAAAGACAGATTCCATGAGGCGACGAGAGATTTCATTTTATCCTGCCTACACACTCATGGTGGAGTTCAGTGTTTATTTACATCTGTCTGTCTATCATGTATTATCTGTCATCTTCTTTTCCATCCAGTATTCACAAAATACTTCAAATATTAAGCACCTACTATGTTCTTATTGTGTGGAAAACATATCAGTGAGCAACAGATAAAAATCCCTGCCCTTTCAGAGCTTATGTTCTAGTGGTAAGGGAACTGCCTTCCTCCCCTTTTTCAACTTAGTTTAAATGAAAATTAATAAGTGAGATAGTTATCATAGGGATGCACATTATCATTTTCTTTAATTAAAAACTGAAGTCAGACATATTTTCTGATTGAAGGTACATTTGATGTGAAGTACTGGTTTGACAATGAGAGTTAGCTTTGCCAATTAGCTTCTTCAGTTGGCAGTTTCTGTAAGTTGAATGAACTGAATCTGAAGCTGTAAACTTTTGACAAAATCTATATTTGAAGAACATGTGTAATATACCTCACTGCTGGGAATCTCATAACTTGTTACTCTTTGAACAAATGATAATTTAAAATGTAGATATCAAATTTAAAATGTGTAAAGACATATGTGATTTTTCAAAATTTGTTCGGAGAATACATAATAAAACATTTTGACGATCACCGTCCTAGGGTTCTACTTTAAAACTGATTGGTTGGAGAGAGCTCAAGACTCCCTTGAATTAACTTCCTTATTAAGAGATCAGCTCACAATCTGTAAAGTTCTTTCCGAATAGAATGAATAAAGGAAAAGAAGGTGGTTAACAAGTTTTGGGTTGAAAACTACCGTTTTTTAATATTCATTATCCTTTCTTGATCATTTATGACATTGTTCTTCATGTAAAGCAGAGTTTCTCAATCACAACATAGTTGACATTTTAGACCAGAGAATTCTTTCTTGTGGGGACTGTCCTTTGCATTGTAGAATATTTAGAAATATCCCTGGCCTCTACCCACTAGATGCAAATAGCGCTCCCTCTCCCCCAGTTATGATAACCAAAAATATTTCCAGATATTGCCAACTGTCTCCCCTGGGGGAGGGGGCACAAAACCATCCCTGATTACAACCACTGTGCTGTTGTAACTAGGTGTGTTGACGTTCTTTTTGATACAGTAACCAGGAGTCCCCTGGGATGTCCTTATCCCTAAAACTAAAATCTAAACAAACTTTTTAGCTTACATACAGTCAAGGAAAAACAAAAGGAACTTTTTCAAGATCTACTCTCCTGGGGTTAGTGGCAGAGTGCCTCCATACTGGGAGGCACATATTTCATGGGAATTGTTCTTATGGGAAATTTCCTCACATTCTGCTACTGATTAGTTCATTCATTTCTTCAGAGTTACATAATTCTACTCAGCTGCAGTTGGCAAACAGATTAGTTGATTTAAAACTAATTCTAAACATTAAACTTATACAAGTACAACAAAAATTCTTCAGTTATTCCTAATTTTCCATGCATAGAAAACTATAGGTTGACTTAACTATAAAATATAATTTTTAGAATGGAAAATGCTGTGATATTTAGTGAAACTGCTTTGAGTGGAAAAGATTCACATAAATGGGCTAATGTGATTCAAGTTTAGGCAAAGTTCTAAGAAAGTAAATTAACAGCTCTCCAAATCCTGAAAGGAGGAGGTAGACCATACAAACAGGACTTACAAAGAAAGAAATGACTCGAGCTAGTTTTGCCAATCTTATAAAAACTTTTAATTTGGAGGGGCCAATGGTTGGCAATGAAAGAATTTCTTGAAAGACTTACTGATGACGGAGGGTGGATTGATGATTTTCTTTTCACCTCAAACCTAGTTAGAAAGGCTGCAAGGAGACTCATGTAGACCCAAGAAATGGAAATCCTGGAATTAATGATATGGTCCAAGCCTGGACAAAAAGGCTACAGCAGAAGCTGTCCGAAATGTCTCATGCCAGCAGAGAACAGGACTGCATTTGGAAGCAGGCGCCTTCTCCTGAAAGGCAAGTCAAAGGTAACTAATTGGCATTCCACAGTAGGAATGTTGACTTAAGGCTGCTTTCATGAGAACATCTGCCCAGTGGCAAGTGACGAGCAGAAGAGGCTGGGGGCACATGGGGAGGTGTAGAACTAAGGAGGAGTGATAAACAGCCAGCTGGAGGAGAGGCATCACCAAGTAAGAGGAACATTGATGACATCTCCTAGGAGTAAAGGGGAGTGGATCTGAGAGAAAGGATTCTCTGGAAGAAGCACTGAGCAGGTTGGAGGAGGGGCTCACAAGGAGAAGCTTTTAACTTTGAATGACTTTCTGAATTTTTGATCAATACAACACAATGAACGACATAATTATGAAAAGGAGATGATTTTTATGCTTGAGATTGACTGAAGACTGGTGTACTGGGTAAGGTTTAAGGAGCTAAGCTATGTGATCTACCCAAGAGTTTTTCTAGGTACAGAGGAAGAACGGGTTGCATGAAGAGGACATGAACAAGCAATGAGGAGTGAAATAAAGTTGTTTTCTGATTGCATTCTGTACATCTTTCTTGTTCAACATTTCAGTTACATGCAAGTAAATATTGCACAGCTTATTCCGTGATAATCCAATTGATGGTTTTATAGCATAATGCAGTATCAGTTTTATTTTGCTATAAATTACATATTGCCTACTCCTTCATCATTCAGACAAAAATGTTCTCAGTTCTTTCTCATCATAATGTAGTAAATTCTTGCCATAGTACTGTATGGGATTTACTAGTCTCTAGTTTAAAAGAACAAAAAAAGCAGAAGAAAATCCCACACAGAAACAATTCAGAAATGCTTGTTTTTGCTTATAAATCTTCCCTAAACATAGTGAATTTAATTGATTAAGGGAGACTTGATGACTGGTGTTATAATTCAATCTCTGGGCTTTGATTATAACATAAACCAACCGGATTTCTTCAACAGAAATATAGCATTCAAATCTATCTTGCCTTATTGGTATCCTTTATACTGCATATGCATTATACGGCTTAAAAAATGTCAGGTTCCACAAGCATTAATTCTGCCACAAGATATTCAAGTGAGAACATTCTCTAGTGAAGCAATATAGGCATGAATGCTTAGACTGGAAGTAGATCCCAGCCAAAGGAGAAACAAAAGTGTTATTTACTGAAGAGCTTGCTTAGTAAAGAAAGGTTTATATGCTGAGTATTAGTAAACCCAATTCCACATTCTGCAGCTATGACTTGAAACTTAACTGAGTGTGTATTATTTATGACTTTTAATTGCAAAGCATAGTATAAAAAGAGAGGAGGGGAGAGAGATAGGGTGAGGGAGAGCAAGACAGAGAGAGAGAGAAACAATCTATTTTAAATGTAAATGGAGAAATTCCAAGATACTTGCTTTAAGTGTAGCTGGATCCTGTTGTTCAAGTAATATGAAATCATCTCTCTCTTCATCTTGACTCTGTGTTGACCTATGCAACTAGAGACTTTTTTTTTTTCTCCAAGTTCTAGGAAAGAGAGTGCTTCCTTCATTGTCTTCCTTCTGGGATTAGCCCTGAATAAACTGGCCTGGGTTACATGCCCATTTTAAACACATCATTGTGATTAAGTGCATGGTACATGATGATTTTCCAGGCCTGGATAATATCTCTATTGCTAGTTATGATGGATGGAGCCAGCCCTAGGCAAACGATAAGAGGGTAGTCTTCAAGCAAAATCTGGGTGCTCTTATAAGATTAAAGGAGAAAGGAAACTAGGTAGATTTAAAAGAACAGATTCCACTTGAGATAATTTATGTAATCTTTTAAGATTTAATCTCTGTGTCTGTAGAACAAGCACAAATAATACAAATTTTATATATTTTCCAGGCTCATTATTATAATGCTTAAATGAGATCATAGATGTAGAAATACATCAAAAAAAGTGTTGAATTCAGTAAAATGTTTGTAGAATAGTAAAATATTCTACAGATCAAAAAAATTAATAAAACCATCTATATGTTGAGACCAACTAAATAGTTCTTCTGTGGAGGGTTTTGTGATATTTCTTATTGTATAAATCAAGAATTATTGGTATTTTGTTTTCTAGGACAGAAGGACTGCCTTAAAGTGAAAATATATATCCAGTTGCTGTATCTCTTCCAATATATAACTCCTATGATGTAAATAAGCAAGAATGAAATATTGGGATTAAATTAATTTCTGGGCAGTCACAAAGCAGATACCCTCTGGAGGATGCAAGGGCTACTTCTTTTTCCTAAGATGGCAGCTTGGTGCAATTAAAATATAGGAACTTGAAATTTTGACAGAACTGCATTTGAGTTCTAGCTTCATCATTACTTATCTGTGAGATGGACAATTGACTTCACCTCTCTGACCCTCAGTTTCTTATCTATAGAAATAGGGATGATAACCAGCATGTGGGGTATTAGGGGCTTCTAGAGATAATATATGCCACAAAATTTTTTTCACAAACAGGCATTCCTCAAATATATTATAGATTTCGTTCTGGACCACCATAATAAAGAGAGTATCACGAGAAAGTCATATGAATTTTTTTGTGGTTTTCCAATGCATATAAAATTTATATCATATTGTAGTCTATTAAGTGTGCAGTGGCATTATACCTGAAAAATAATGCACATACTTTAATTAAAAATTTCTAAAAATTCTCCATGATGATCTAAGCCTTCAGTGATTTGTAAGCTTTTTGCTGGTCTTACCTTGATATTGATAGCTACTGACTGATCAGGGTGGTAGTTGCTGAAGTTTGACATGTCTGCGGCAATTTCCTAAAATAAGACAATAATGAAGCTTGCCACATTAATTGACTCTTCCTTTCAAGAAAGATTTCTGTGTAGCATGCCAGGCTATTTGATAACCTCTTACCAACAACAGAACTTCTTTCAAGACTGGGCTACTCAATCCTCTCAAATCCCGCTGCTGCTTTATCAACTAAGTTATGTAATATTTGAAATCCCTTGTTGTCATTTCAACAATGTTCAGAGGATGTTTACCAGCAGTAGATTCCATCCCAAAAAACCATTTTATTTGCTCATTTATAAGAAGCAATTCCTCATTTGTTCATATTGTATCATGAGATTACAGCAATTCAGCCACATCTTTAGGTTTTCCTTCTAATTCTAGTTCTCTTGCTGTTTCCACCACATCTGCTGTTACTTTCTCCACTGAAGTCTGGAACCCTCAGATTCATCCATGAGGGTCAGAATCAACTTCTTCCAACCTCTTAATGTTGATATTTTGACTTCCTCCCATGAATCATAAATGTTCTTAAAGGGATCCATAATGGTAAATCCTTTCCAGAAGGTTTTCAATTTTCTTTTCCCAGAATCAGAGTGATCAGAAGAATCACTAGTTATGATAGCTATAGCCTTTCAAAATGTATTTCTTAAATAATAAGTCTTGAAAGTCAAAATTACTCCTTGAACCATGGGCTGCAGAATGGATTTTGTGTTAGCAGGCATGAAAACAACATTAATCTCCTTCTATATCTCCATCAGAGCTCTTGGGTGAATAGTTGCCTTGTCAACAAGCAGTAATATTTTGAAAGTAATCTTTTTTTCTGAGCAGTAGGTCTCAATAGCAGGTTTAAAATATTCAGTAAGCTGTTTTATAAACAGATGTGCTGCCATCCAGACTTTATTGTTCCATTTATAGAGCAGAAGCAGAATGATTGTATAACTCTTAAGGGTCCTAGGACTTTCAGAATGTTGCATAAGCATTGGCTTCAACTTCAAGTCACCAGCCGCATTAGCCTCTAACAAGAGTCAGCCTGTCCTTTGAAGCTTTGGAGCCAGTCATGGACTTCTCCTCTCTAGCTATGAAAGTCCTAGATGGCATCTCCTTCCAATTTAAAGCTGTTTAATCTACATGGAAAATCTGTTGTTTCATGTAGGCCCCCTTCACCAGTTATCTTAGCTAGATCTTCTGGATAACTTGTGCAGCTTCTACATCAGCACTTGCTCCTTCACCTTGTACTTTTATGTTATGGAGACAGCTTCTTTCCTTAAACCTTGTGAATCAGCCTCTGCTAGCTTCAAACTTTTCTTCTGCAGGTTCCTTATCAGGCTTCATTGAATTGAAGAGCGTTAGGGCCTGGCTTTGGAGTAGGCTTTGGCTTAAGGAAATGTCGTGTCTGGTTTGCTCTATCCAGACCCCTCAAATTCCTTATCAGCAATAAGGCTGTTTTGCTTTTTCATCATTCATGTGTTCACCGGAGTAGTACTTTTGATCTCCTTCAAGAACTTTTCCCTAACTGTTTGGCTCATGGGCCTGGTGTTCAGCCTGTCTCAGTTTTCAACATGCCTTCCTTGCTAAGCTTAATCATTTCTAGTTTTTTGATTTGAAGAGATTTGAGAATCTTTCTTTCACTTGAACCCTTAGAAGTCATGGTAGGATTATTAATTGGCCTAATTTCAATATTATTATGTCTCAGAAAATAGCAAGGGCTGAGAAGGAGAGAGATGGGTGAATGGCCAGTCAATGAATCAGTCAGAACACACACAACATTCATCAATTAAGTTCACTGTCTTATCTGAGTCCGGTTCATGGTATCCACAAAACAGTCACAATGGTAACCACAAAGATCACTGATCACAGATCCCCATAACAGATATAATAATAATGAAAAACTTGAAGGATTGCAAAAATTACAAAAGTGTAACAGAGACCCAAGTGATCACATTGTTGGAAAAAATGATGCCTATGGATTTGCTCGATGCAAGGTTGCCACAAATATTCAGTGTAAAAAATAACAGTATCTATGAAGTGCTATAAAGTGAAGTGCAATAAAATGAGGTATGCCTATATAAGCACACAACAAATGGGGATTTTATTCACTTTTTTTATTATGCAGTTCTCAGTACACTCTCCTGGGTGTTCTAGGTAATAAGATGCTTTGAAGGGATAAAGTAATGATGCGAGGCTTGAGTTGAGATGGACAGATGAAGAGACTGCTTACGTGACTTTTGCCATATTTCAGGAAACTAAGGGTATGAGCCAATGTTTGACCAAAGAAACAGTACCACTAAGGTGATATAGAATAAGGGTTCTGTTTTGTTTTGTTTTGTTTTTTGAGACAGGTTCTTGCTCTCTCGCACAAGCTGGAATACAGTGGTGCGATCTTGGCGCACTGCAAATTCCACCTCCCGGGTTCAAGCAACTCTCATGCCTCAGCCTCCTGAATAACTGGGATTAGAGGTTCATGCTACCATGTCTGGCTAATTTTTCGTTTTGTTTTTTTTTCTTAGTAGAGACAGCGTTTTGTCATGTTGGCCAGATTGGTCTTCAACTCCTGGCCTCAAGTGATCTGCCTGCCTCAACTTTGCAAAGTGCTGGGATTACAGGCCCAAGCCACCACACACAGCCCTAGAATAAGGTTTCTTTTAAAACAGAGATTAGGCCTGGTGTGATGGCTCATACCTGTAATCCAGCACTCTGGGAGGCCAAGACAGGTGGATCATCTGAGGTCAGGAGTTTGAGACCAGCCTGGCCAACTTGGTGAAACCCCATCTCTACTAAAAATACAAAAAAAGTCAGCTGGGCGTGGTGGCAGGCACCTGTAATCCCAGTTACTTGGGATGCTGAGGCAGGAGAATCTCTTGAACCTGGGAGGTGGAGGTTGCACTCCAGCCTGGGCAACAAGAGTGAAACTGCATCTCAAAAAATAAAATAAAATAGATTAGACCTTGTACAACTCTTGTGAGCAGGTGGAGACAGTAAAGGAGAGTGGGATATGGATAAGAGCAAGGACAAACGAGTCCACATCTATCTCTCATGGCCAGCAGCTGCTGCCATGGTGACCAGCAGTAGTAGCTTTTTCTCTAGTCTTCACCATGAGGTTGTACACACATTGGCCCAGGACTAGGAGAAGCTGCAGGAGGAGGTATGGTGGGAGCTGGAGCCCCTGTGGGTCTGGTTGATGTCTCACGCCAACAAGGTGAGCTACCGGCTCAGTAAGAGCATGTGAGCTGCCACAGTTCCTGCACTTGGCACTGACTTTCAGGGCAGATATAAGAGCTGCTACTTCCCTTCTAACTTCCAACATCTTGTATGAATTCCTTGTGTGCAGCACTGACTCTGAACCCTGCAGGAGGGGACACCTGGGAAAGGCAATTCCAGATTGGTTATGTTGATATGGTACAAAGTCACCTTACCAATTTAGAACTCAGAACCCAAGTATTACTAATAAACAGGAGATGGAGAAATGGCCCCGTGGGGTTCACGTTCATGAGGATGGAGGAGCAATTAGAAGTGCTCTTCTCCCATTTTTTAAAACTTTCTACATTTACATAATTTCAGACTTACAGAAAAGTTGTAAGAAATGTACGAACCATTATATCTTCTACCCAGATTTTTCCACTATAATTTTGCCAAATTTGCATATTCTTCTTCTCTCTATATATACACATAGTATATATGTCTACATACATTTATACTGCTTACACATAAACACACATATTTTTTCACTAAAACACTTGAGGCTAATGATACACTTAGAGCCCTTTTATCTTCAGTTTGTAAAAAATATAGTATCTACGAAGTGTCAAATACTTCTGTGTGTGTTTCCTAAGAGGAATGATATCCTCCTATATAACCCTATTACAATGATCAAAACCAGATCTTTGGGACAATACTATATTATCTCTAATGCTTATTTAAATTTTACCCAACTGTTGCAATAATACCCTTTGTGGCCAAAAAATTCTTTAAAGGTATGGTCCACATTCCAATCCGAGGCCACAAGCTGAATTTGGTTGTCCTGTCTCTCTGGTGACCTTCAGTCTGGACCTGTTTTTCAGACTGCCTTTGTCTTTCGTGAGCTTGGCTTTTCCTTAAAGTACAGGTGGGCACATTCGTATATTTTCCCTCCATTTGGGTTTGTCTGATTTTTTTTCTCAGAGTTAGACTGAAGAATTTGGCAGGTGGAGCAAAAAGTGATGTTTTATTCTTTCTATTTCTTTTATTTATTTATTTATTTATTTATTTATTTATTTATTTATTTATTTTGAGATGGAGTTTTGCTCTTGTTGCCCAGGGTGAAGTGCAATGGTGCAGTCTTGGCTCACTGCAATCTCCATCTCCCAGGTTCAAGCAATTGTCCAGCCTCAGCCTCCCAAGTAGCTGGAATTACAGGTCCTGACCACCACACCCAGTTTTATTCTTTCTAGCGTATTACATGAGATGGGATCTGCCTTCTCCTCCCATGTTTAAAATGCATCCTTACACCACGTATGTACCAGTGCGATCACTGCTGAGGATTTTTGTTTTCTCTGGACTAGGGTTGGCAAACTTTTCCTGTAAAGAGCCAGAGAGTTAACATATTTGAGTTTGAAGGCCAGGAGTTCTCTGTCACAACTACTTAACCAGCTATTGTACTGTAAGAGCAACTACGACAATATATAAAGAACATATGCGACTATGTCCCAATAAAACTTTATTTGTAGACTTTGAAATTGGAATTTCCTGTAATTTTTATGTGTCAAGAAACGTTCTTTTGATGTTTCTCAACCATTTGAAATGTAGAAACGCTTATTTGCTCCTGAGTCATACAAATCTAGTAGCAGACCATAGTTTGCTGACCCTACCTCTAGGACCTGCAGGTATTATTATTCAAAGCTGCTTTTTTTCCTCCTCACAGCTTTTATATCACATAGATACCTCAGCTGTAAAGGCCACCTTTTAATACTCTGTTTGTCTTTGAAGGGCCTGAAATGTAGGGAGGGAAAGCAGAGCTATTTAACTTGTATTTGTAGAAACTGATTTTTCTTTATTACTCCATATTTTTCTCCAGTTCGCTTCTTGAATGTGAGTATTGTACTTGGACCTAATTTTCATCTATTGTACATTGTACAATACTATTAGTTTGATTAATTAATGCATAATACATCCTGGAGACTAATTTGTTTACTCCTAGTGGACTCATTAAGGCTTGCTGTATGAATGTGGGATTAGGTTTAAAAAGGAATCACCTTACAATGATTGACTTGCATGTCTGTTTTAAAAAGAAGAAAAATCTGACAAATGAAAATCAAGTAATCTCTATCCCTAATCTATATCCCCCTCTTTAACCATAAAAGAGCATGAAAGGATTTCTAATGCTGCATGCATGTATGTTGACTTCCTATGGTGATATTTTAGAGTTGCATGATTTACTTACAAAAATTGATCATAGAAAAATGCAATTAAAGTAGCGTGCTAATATTTTCCTCCATAGGTGAATAGAGCAATGAGGACTTGCATCTCTGCTTTAATTCTGCATGCCGGTGCATATTTTAAGTTTAGTATCTTGCCACCCATGTTAACATTATTGCTCCTCATGTGGGAATAAAGCAGCTTCTAATAAACAAGACTGCTGTTAGGTGAGCCCCAGCCAGCAAGCATTGTTAAAGGCGGAAGAACACATTTCTTGATGATATATTTTTGTACTGTTTTCTGCCTTTTAGGAATAGTTTATGCACCCTAGCAAGATGAGATGGTGGGTATAATAAATCGTAATCGTTCCCCATTTCAGTTTCTAATGCACTGTTTTTGACTAAGTACTGAGGTATTCTGACATAGCCACCATTAGAAAATTAGAGAGGCTTAGACTTATGTACCTCTCCTGTGCAATGTTTCTCCAAATTCTTATCTGTTACCCAATGCCTCTACTAAGGTCTTACCCTTCTAAAAGAGCCGAAATTCAGTTATCGGTGGGGGTTTCTGCTGCAGATGTGTGTGCCTGAGGGTTATTTTAGTAAGAACAGGTTTTTTAATTAGAAATCTTGGTGCTGTTAGTGTACCACAGGGCTGAATATGCAGACACTTCCTCTTTCATTGAAAAATCTCTTTGGAAGGTTTGAGGCAGATCTTCACAGCTTAATTTGCAAGGGAGCAAGTGTATTGTGTTTTTATTGCTTGTGCAGCGCCTGGGTCATCTCAGAGAGTGGCAGTAGCATCGTTTAAAAAGAGTTGTCATTATTGCCTAGCTTTGGGTATTTATGCTTTCAGAAACGTGGAGTAAACAGTTTGTGATAAATTTTCTCTAGGCCAAGGTTACTGGATCTCCTTCACTGTAGATATTTTTGTATTGAATAGGAACCCAACTGTCCTATGCGGTTTCGATGCAATCAAGTCTGCAGGTCTGGGGTTGAAGAAGATGACCTCCATAGATAGGCTGGCCTTGGGCAAAATTGTTAAGTAGGCAAAGTTCCCAGTTCCATTTATCATTTCACCAGAATGCCCTCAGGCTCTTCCCTGCCTCCCAAGCATTACTGTACCCCTCAGTTCGTCAGGCACTCTTCAATCTTAACTTTCAAAATGTATCTGGTTGGTGCCCTGTTCCCTCAGGGTCTCCATGATTGTGGGAAGTGGTTATTTAAGTAAAATCATTTTAATAACTTAATAAGTGATTATAGGTTACCCTTCTTTACCTCCTCATCCTGTTCCCTCGCCCTTCATGCATTTACCACGTGTGCATTTCAGAAGAATCTTACCAAAACCTCAGTGCTTTCATGTAAAGGGAGAACGCTAATATCAAATATTTCAGGTATCACAGCAGAAGAGTCAGAGAAATATTTTGGAGTTGTTTTTCTCTCTTTTAAAACCAAATTTCATAAGGAAATAACTCCTGTGAGGAGCCAATATTTTCCCTAATAGTATGAGCCTTCTTTTGCTGAAAAGGCAAACAAGTATTAGAGCCAACTTTCAAAATAATTGGTTGGTAGGTCTCCTTGACTCTACAAATCAGTGACCAGTAAAGAGGCAGGAACAGTAACAAAAACAAAATTTAAGGAAGCAGCTTTTAACAAAGTTGAGAGGAGAAAGGAGTGGCAAGAAGCAAGAGGCAGAATAAAATGACAACTGTATTTAGCTTGGAGAAGCTGCTTTTGTCAGCCTGAAAGGAAATGACTAGCAGACTGGTTTTGTTATTCTAATAATTGTTTGATCTGAAACACTTCTAATAAGTAACTGACTAAAGAAGTTATAGAACCATAGAGCTTTCGTCCTGGAAGGGAACCTCAGAATCAGAGTCTTGTCCAAATTAGGTATTTTACGGATGAGGAGTTTGAAAAACGCAATATACAATGAATTTATTCAAACTTAAGATAAAGAAGTATCAAATGTGATCCAGAGAGTATTAGAGCCTCTAAAATGTGGAAGAATACAGTTTCAACTTGAAATCAAGGAACAATAACAGCAGGGTGCAATGATTAGATGGACAAAGTTTGAAGCTGGGTGTATGTTGAATCCTCTTTTACTAGTTGAGTGACCCCTTGGACATAGAATACTACTTATTTTCATTTTTGAGACGGGGTCTCTTTCTGTCGCCCAGGCTGGAACGCAGTGGTGTGACCTCTGCTCACCGCAAGCTCCGCCTAGCGGGTTCACGCCATTCTCCTGCCTCAGCCTCCCGAGTAGCTGGGACTACAGGCGATTGCCACCAAGTCCGACTAATTTTTTTTTAATTTTATTTTTAGTAGAGACGGGGTTTCACTGTGTTAGCCAGGATGGTCTCGACCTCCTGACCTTGTGATCTGCCCTCCTCGGCCTCCCAAAGTGCTGGGATTACAGGCTTGAGCCACTGCTCCCGGCTGGCGTGGAATACTATTTTGTTAAACCAACCTTGGTACTCCCATCTATAAAATCCAAATTAAAGTGTATGAGGACCAAATTATATATCTCAGTATAATGACCGACATAATGTGGACAATCAGTATAGTTCTTGTTAACCCTGCTATTATTTAAAGACCAATGCCTTGTTAGACAAAGATAACAAGTTAGGCAGCTTTAAATCAAAGTGAAATTATAAAAGCTGGTTACTATATGAAAAATCTATAATCTAGGTACACTCCAGAATTGTCTTGGTAGTGAAGTTTTGTTTTGTTTTTATTAGGAATAACCACATTGTGAAGAGGGATTACAACTAAAGGGAAGAAAGGGGGAAAATATAAGAGAAGGAGAACGCCTCTGATGAAATTATGTAACGGTGATGCAGGGTAGTTTAGGGCAGCAGTCTTTAGTCCAGATATATGAATTATTGAGTCTACATAAAGCACGGACAGTTTAAAGAAGTTTCACTTCCGAATCCTCAGCTTTTTCTATGGATCTCTTTTTTTCCTTTTCTTTTTTCTTTTTTTTTCTTGAGACGGAGTCCTGCTCTGTTGCCCAGGCTGCAGAGCAGTGGCCCGATCTCGGCTCACTGCAAGCTCCGCCTCCCGGGTTCATGCCATTCTCCTGCCTCAGCCTCCCAAGTAGCTGGGACCACAGGCACCTGCCACCACTCCCGGCTAATTTTTTATATTTTTAGTAGAGACGGGGTTTCACCGTGTTAGTCAGGATGGTCTCGATCTCTTGACCTCGTGATCCACCCGCTTCAGCCTCCCAAAGTGCTGGGATTACAGGCATGAGCCACCAGTCTTGGCCTAGATCCCTTTTTAAAACTGATCCACCCATGATTCCTCTTGTGATCCTTCTCTGTTACAGTTGCCTTATCCTAAATTTTCAAAAGAAATTCAGATATCTTATCCATCCCACATCCTAAATTTTCTAATTGTATTGTTCCAAAGGGGGAAAGATCCTTCTGGTGTGACAGGAAGAGAATCTTTCAAAATACATGTGGAGTTGATGTTGAGAACTAGTAAGACACCTCACCCCCACAGTCTGTCTCACTGAGAGATGGATTGTCAATAAAATTTTACTTTTTGTACTTAATAACTATTTTTTCAAACTTCATGTGTGTGTATATATGTTTTGTCAATTATATAGTAATGAGTATTATAATGCTAACTAAATCTCCCTCACAATGGTTAACTCTTAAAGCCTATGATCCTACAAAAAAATTAATTAGTTTGAATACCTTTATATTTTGGAGAGGAGTATGAAATCAAATATTACAAGCTAAAATTATATATTAAAAAACAACTTGCAAATGGAGATAACATTTTGAATATTTAAGTATACATATATGAAGGTGTGTATCAAATTGCTGTTGGCTTTATATTCTTTTGGTTGCATTTAAAAAATGTTGTATAGCAAAAACTAAGAATTGTCTATTTTACAATTCTTTACATTGTAGACAACTAGGAGCAATGTAAAATAGTTTTTCTCTGTAGACATGCTAATGAATTCTGCTCAGTGGAGACACAGTCTTCCTTCCTTCGTAGAGAAAGAGTTTGGACTCTATCTGCATATTCATTTCTACATTCCTGATTTACAAATATATCTGTTCTCTGGATTCTCTTTTAAACTGGTTATAACATCTTCTCAGTTTCCTCATTAATAAGGAAAATAAAATATAACGTGCTTATTTTTACAGCAGTATGAGAGTCATGCTTTTACCCATTAAAAATTATCTTTTAATAAATATAACCATTTTTAAATGTCACTATCATAATATCATAAAGGTTGTATGCTTTGAAATAACTAAAACTTATGAAAAAATTTAGATGTTATCTTAAAAACATACATGGTCAATGTTAAATGTATATTGCTAGATGGAAGAAGCCATCTGAAAAGGCTACATACTGCACCATTCCAACTACATTATGTTGTAGAAATGGTAACACTATGCAGACAGAAAAAAGACCAGCTCTTTGGGAGGCCGAGGCAGGCAAATCACCTGAGGTCAGGAGTTCGAGACCAGCCTGGCCAACGTGGCGAAACCTTGTATCTACTAAAAATACAAAAATTAGCCAGGAGTGGTGGTGGGCACCTGTAATCCCAGCTACTCGGGAGCTAAGGCAGGAGAATCGCTTGAACCCAGGAGACAGAGGTTGCAGTGAGCTGAGATCATGCCACTGCACTCCAGCCTAGGTGACAAGAGCAAAACTCCGTCTCAAAACAAAAATAAATAAAAACAAAAACAAAAAACAGTGGTTGCCAGGGATTATCAGGGAAAGAGAGAAGAATAAGTATATCGCAGAGGATTTCTAGGGCAGTGAAACTATTCTTTGTGATACTACAATGGTGGATATGTGTCAGATACATTTGTCAAAGCCCATAGCATATAAAACCCCAAGATTGAGCCTTAGTGTGTAAACTATGAACTTTGTATGATAATGATGTGTTAAGGTAATACAGGGGGGAATAAACAGTAACATCTTTTTCTAACTTATCACAGTATTCATGGCTGAAGCCCCTGTAAGAAAAGACAGATTAACAATTGAAAAAGTGGCTGGCTGTGGTGGCTCATGCCTGTAATCCCAGCACCTTGGGAGGCTGAGTCGGGCGGATCACGAGATCAAGAGATCGAGACCATCCTGGCCAACAGGTGAAACCCCGTCTCTACTAAAAATACAAAAATTAGCTGGGCATGGTGGCGGGCGCCTGTAGTCCCAGCTACTCGGGAGGCTGAGGCAGGAGAATCACTTGAACCTGGGAGGTGGAGGTTGCAGTGAGCCGAGATCGCGCCACTGCCCTCCTGCCTGGCAACAGAGCAAGACTCCGTCTTAAAAAAAAAAAAAAAAAAGTGAAAAAGCATTCAAATTTATTTAGTACAAGTTTTATATGACACAGGAGTATTCAGAAATGAAGGCCCAAAGAAACAGGGAAATCTGTGTATTTCTATGCACAGTCATTCAGAAGTATGATTGAAGCATAAAAGAGTAAGATCTAATGGTAATAAACTGGGGGAAGCTAAGCACAGTCTGTTCAGATTCTTCCTGGCATCCCCATGTGATATTCTTTCCAACTGGACACAGTGTAGGATACTTGAGTGTCCTCAGAGGAGAAAGGAGGGAAAGGTCAGAGAGTGACCTTCCTAGGTTTCAAGGCTTGCTTTGGGGAAGAAAGAAACACGAGAATGGCCTCTGTGCTTCTGCTGTTTTCTCAAATGCCAAGGAGCCATATTTTGGGGTATTGTGTCCTGTACCTTATCAGCAGGTTCAACGATTGTAACAAATGAACCATTGTGGTATGGGATGCTGATGGTGAAGGAGATTGAGTCTGGGTGGAGACATGGAGTATATGGAAATTGTCTGTATTTCCCACTAAATTTTGCTGTGAACCTAAAACTACTCTAAAAAATAAAGCTTATTCATAAAAATAATTTTAACATGCAGAGTCAAAGATTTTTCAAAATCCTTATGATATGCATATGATTCATGGATGACTTCTGAAATTTTATTATCCTGCAGACATTTTCTCTCTGAAGACGCTTTGACGTTATTTTCGGGAAGCCTATTCCTCCCCCAGAGTTCACAGTATTGTTGATCAGGAGGGATGAGCAGCAATGCGTGTAAGCTATGCTGGGCCCGTTATCTCTGGGAATGTTAATCATGACTGAAGTGGTAAAGCAGCTGGTGCAGTATGTTGTAATAGTGATGCAGGAAATTTCTGCTTTGTGTGGTTCTTGCCCCATCTAAAGCCTCGTTGTTGTTTTCCCCACTCTGACACTCTGACCCTCCCGAATTTAAAACAAAAAAATCCAACTGCTTCAGGTAATGCAAGACAGAAAGATAAATTGAATCTTTAGGGGACAGGTTTCAGTTTAGCTTCATCGACCTACTGGCCTGCATGCCCTGAATGTCCATCCTGCTCCATGACTTAGCAGCTTACAATAATGATTCTATTTAAGAGTTTCTCTTGTCCTGTCAGTGTATTATGATAGAAAGTAATATCTTGAAAGGGAAGACCTAACAAAACAAAATTAAATTAAAAAAAAAGTTGTTTCTTCTGATTTCTGTTTAAAACCAAGTAACATGGAGTATTAACTATGTAAGTGGATAATTTCTTTCTTTTTTTTTTTTTTTTTTGAGATTGGGTTTCACTCTGTCACCCAGGCTGGGGTGCAGTGGCACGATGTCAGCTCACTGCAATCTCCGTCTCCAGGGCTCAAGTGATCTTTCCACCTCAGCCTTCAGAGGTAGCTGAGACTACAAGCACGCACCACCACCCCCGGCTAATTTTTGTATTTTTTGTAGAGACAGGGTTTTGCCATGTTGCCCAGGCTGGTCTCGAACTCCTAGACTCAAGTGATCTGCCCACCTTGGCCTCCCAAAGTACTAGGATTACAAGGGTGAGCCATCACACCCAGCCTAAATGAATAATTTTTATACAACCTGTCAACAGGGTAACAAGTCTGCAGGAGACTTTTATCCCAACGTTTTATAATAAAAAATGTAAAGCATACTAAAAACTTGAAAGGACAGTGCAAAGTTGTATCTACATAAAAAAGTTAACATTTTGCCATATATGTTTCCTTTTTATAATTTTTTTGCTGAGTCTTTTGAACGCAAGTAAGTATAGACGTCAGGTCACTTTTCCTCTAAAAATTGTACCGTGTGTTTTCTAAGAATTAGAGGATTCTTCTTCATGACTATAATAATATTATTACAATAATGAAATCTGGTAATATTGACTACTATTATCTAATTCAAGGCCATACATGAATGTCTTTATTCCTGCCATCCAATATCTCCTATAACTTTTTTCTCCTAACAATGAGCCAATGAAGATTCACACATCCTATTTTGCTGCTTTGGTTTGTTATTCTTTTAAAATCTATGGAAATATTTGCATAGTATTTGTTCTGTTTTGCTTTGTTTTGTCCTATGATGTTAATTCTTTGCAGAGATCTGACCTGTAGAATGCTCCATACTCTGAATATGTTTATCTCCTCATTGGTCATTGAACTTTCCTGTTTACTGTATATTTTCTATAAACTGGAAGTTAGAACTATAAGATTGTATATTCAGTTTAACATTTTGAGAATGCTAAATAGCTAACGAAGTTGTCTTCAAAATGCATCATATCACAAAGCACAAAATGTCAAGTTGTCACTCCCAAGTAGGATGCTGACGTGGTTCATTTGGTAAAGGTATGGACCACCAGATATGACCACTGCAAAGTGGTGTATGTGTGTGAGCGTGCACATGCATGCATGTGTGTGTCTGCTCCTACACATTGCCCACAAATGCATGTTTTCTCCTTGGTATGGGGAGTAGTTTGTTGGATGGATTGGTATTATGCAAAAAGGATTATTAAAAGCTTACATAGTTTTATTTATTTTTGTTTTCAATCAGATATGGTCATTTTTCTTTTCAGTGGTCAAATTGATTTAAAGTTGGCTGGCTAACTCCTACGTCCTCTTGTGAAGTTCCCATTAGTTGTCTGTGATTCTCACAAACAATAGCCCATGTGCTCCTCTTCCTTTTCTGTTTTAGATCTGATATCATCAGTTTTGCAAGGAACTTTGGTCCTCTTACTGAGAAATTCTTTTAGAAACCAATGCTGGTGTGCTCATTGCTACTGGCTAGGTATTGCTTCTAGGCCATTTCAGTGAACAAAGTTGGAAAGAGATAGATAGAAAAAGATAGAAATGGGGACAGAGTTAGAGATAGAGAGATATAGAGATGGAATAGATATATATACAGAGAGATGTATATAGATATATAACTGTATTTGATATTCCTAATACAAATGTAATATTATAGGGTTTTTTCTTTAAAGTTCTTTATATTCTTTTTTTCTCTTATGTTGAAATACTGATTTCTAATAATATTTCCCTACATATTTACTTAATTTATCGTACTCTTTTTTTTGTTTTTGTTTTTGTTTTTGTTTTTGAGACAGAGTCTCGCTCTGTTGCCAGGCTGGAGCGCAGTGGCGTGATCTCAGCTCACTGCAACCTCCGACTCCCTGGTACAAGGAATTCTCCTGCCTCAGCCTCCTGAGTAGCTGGGATTACAGGCATATGCCACCAGTCCCAGCTAATTTTTGTGTTTTTAGTAGAGACGGGGTTTCACCATGTTGGCCAGGATGGTCTCAATCTCCTGACCTCGTGATCCACTCGCCTCAGCCTCCCAAAGTGCTGGGATTACAGGTGTGAGCCACTGCGCCAGGCCTATCCTACATTTCATAATGATATCAACAATGCTACCTAAAATAAATAACCCACTAAGTGAAGTGCAAGCCATTTTTACAGTCCTTTTTGTCCTAGAATATTACATGTAGAATTTTATTCATTTATTTCACTTTGTTTTTAATTTTAGGATTATTTCTTGTAATTTAGTCATGTTTTAAAAAGTAAATAAAACCATTTACATAGTTTAAAAGAGAAAAATGTTTTAAATTATTCTCAGAAATCTTGCTTTTATTTCCTATGCCCTTTATAAGTAAACATTTTTAGTATTTCTTGTTGCTTCCCCAGTGTTTATTTTTTATAAAAATAAGCAAATACATGCACATGTATATTCATATTTCAACTTCTTTAAAATTTTCATTTACTATGTCCTGGAAGTAATTTGCTTCATACATAAATACTGGTCATCATTCTTTTTTCATAGCTGTGTAATACATTCTTTTTGTGGAAGTGAAGTGGTTCATTAAACCAATCCTTTAATTTGAATATTTGGATTTATTCCAATCTTCTGTTGTTTCAAATAATTCTGCGAGGGATAACCATTTGCCTTGGTATTTCATACCTGGATGGTTTTCTTTCTTTCCTAGATGAAATCTTTACAGTGGGAATGCTGAGTCAAGCAGTTAATGCATACGCAATTTTGTTTGATATTGCCAGATTCTCCTCTGTGGTAGTTATGCCATCTTGCAATCATTTCCAGCAATGTTATGGAGGGCTTATTTCTCCATAGCATTGCCCACAGAGCATACTGTAAAACTTCTGGATTTTTGTCTATTGAATAGTGGCATCTTTTTGTAGTTTAATTTGTATGTATCATTCAAATGTGACTGCCCACTTTTTTTCATAAACTTAAGTGTCATCTACTTAGCTTTTTGGGGGGAACTCTCTTCACATTTTATGTCCTGTTTTTAAATTAATTAGATTGTTGACAATTTTCTCTTAATTTTTAGGAGCATTTTATGTACTCGGAAAAGAAACCAGTTGCCTGTAGTATCATTTGCATTTTTTGTTGTTGTTGTTTGTGACTTCTCTGCGGTGCTTTACTGTTCTTTTAAGACTTAATGTATCAGTCTTGACTTTTGCTGCTTCTAGATTTTGAATGCTAACAAGACTATCTTCATTCCTTGGATATAAAGTAATCTATCTATGATTTTTATCTAGAATTTGTCTGTCACTTACGTTGGAGTGCAATGGAGAGATCATAGCTCACTGCAGTCTTAATCTCCTAGACTTAAATGATTCCTCCTGCCTCAATCTCCTGAGTAGCTGAGACTACAGGCACACATTACCACACCCAACTATTTTAAAAATGTTTTTGTAGATATGGGTTCTCACTTGTTGCCCAGGCAGCTCTCAAACTTCTGGCCTCAAGGGATCCTCCCACCTGGGCTCCCCAAAGCACTGGGATTACAGGCATGAGCCGCTGTGACCAGAAACACTTGTATTGTAAAAATCTCCAATCTATTTGGAATTACTCAGCTGTGAAGTGTGGGACCTAGATCCAGTTATATCCTTTTGTAAATGATTATCCAGTTGTGCCAGCATTACTGATTAAAAAGTTTACTTCCCTCAGTGACTTCAAACATTCCTGAAAACTCATGTTGTATTTCTTTATGCACATGGGTCAATTCCGGACTTTTCTATTCTAAAAAATTGCTAACTGCTAATGTGCTATTACCTACACCTTTTGAAAAAAACTTATTATAGAGGGCTTCTAATATGTTTTAATTTCTGATAGGTCTAACTTGTTCCCCATTACTCATTTTTTTCAGGTTTTTCTTCTAGTCATTCTTATTTGGTATATATTTTTAAACAAGGATATTATAGTAAACTTGACTAGCTCCAGATAATAAATCGCTATATTTATTATGATTCTGTTGTATTTTACTAACTGGGAAATAATTGATGTTTTTATAATATTGATTTAACCTCTCTAACAATAGTGTTTGGCCTTTCCTTGGTCCAAATCTACTTTTGATCTTTTGGCAAATTTAAAAATCGTCTTTATATTTTGTTCATTTTAATCTTATTCCTAACTATTTAATATTTAAACTTACTACTGCCTATGGAGTTTTTTTCCCTTTCATTATCTCTTCTAATTATTGTTTGAAGAACTATAAAGTCTATTGATATTTTATATTGATATTTTATGATATTTTAAATATGTGGTATGATATTTAAATATGTGTATATATGTGTATATATGTATATATATGTGTGTTTATATATATATATATACACACACACACACACAAACTTTATTTTACGAGAGAAGAATATTTTAGTTCACTTACTAGGAGTTAAACTTATAAAGAGGTAAATTAGCCAGATCAATTTATAAGAATATTGTGATATTTTCCTCCTAGAAATAATAGAGTCATGGTCTTCTTCTTCCAATGGCAAGTCCCAAACATTTTGCCTTATAGCTGTCTCCTTCCTTGCCATATCTCTAAAGGATTTTCAACTCAAAGTCCCAGTATGAGTAGGTTATCTTCTCCAAGTGAAAGCTTCTCAGAGCTGCCTTAGTACTGTCTTCTGAGTATTTACAGTGCCTTAGATGTTTTTCTTCTTTTTAGTTTTATTAGATAAATATCCTCTTGAAAAGAGAGATTGAAAACTTTTTTAAAAGGTTAGAGTTATAAGATTAATTTCTTTTCTATCTAATGTCTGTGATTTAAAACACAGTACACAGATATTTCTGTATATAATTATTAAACTTTTTTTAAATGGAAAAGCTAGCTAAGTCTGTCTTCCTTTAAAAGTGTTTTGTAAACAAGCTTTTCATTATATATAAAAATAAACACTACAAAATTAACATACTTTATGCAAAGAATCATTGAAAAATACTCACATATCTCTCTATTAAAATAATTTCTGCTTCAATCAATTTATAATTTTATAATTTTCAGTCAAATAATTCCATATTCCTATGAAATCAATATTTTACTTATATTGATAGTTCAAAAGTATATTTAAATTGAAGAACCACTGAATTACATTCCTTATAAAAGATTTATCACTGATGAGTATTGAAAAATTGCTAAAGAACTGCTCAGTATTACTGGAACATTGCTTTATTCTCACTGAAAGTCAATTTTTTTTTTTTTTTTCTGGAAAAGGCAACTTGTTTTTCATTTCTTTAAGAAGTTAACCTGTAGTGACCCAGCTTCTAAACAGCCACTGGAAAATAGAAGTGGCCAATTCCCATCTTCCAAAATAAACAAAACAGCTTAGAACAGATATTAAAAGAGTTTGAAGTTTGTGGGTTTCTTTCTTTGTAATATGAATCCAAAAATCTTCACAGAATAAATCTTCCTTTCAAGGACTAATGGAGGTCATCTGTGGGAGAGAAAGAAAAGAGGCAACACAGAGGAGAAAGAAAAACATTTGTAGATCTCCGGCCACCCATAGGCATTACTTAATATGCTTATTATTTTAGCAGGTGGGTGTAGGGGGTAGGAACATAAACAAAATTTTATTAACTATGTATGATGGACCTTATTACATAGTTATATTATTTAATCCTCATAAATGCACTTTGAGAAAGACTTTCCAACATTTTGAAGGAAGCGGAGGAGGCCACAGAAATTAAAGTAATTTTGTCTAAGGTGACTCAGTTGGTGAGTCATCTCACTTCAAAGTCTGAATGTGCATGTTTATTTCCTGCTTTTAATGTTTTTTGGTATTTTAAAACAAGACTTTCTAACTCCTGTCATTCACAGAGTAGCATTCCATGTCTTGCCATTGCTGTGTACTGCTTATGTTATTATTTAGTGTTTTTCTCCCCTTTAAATGGACTTTAGAGCTACCCATTGTGTCAACGTTTCCTAGTCCTACGAAACAAAGGCTTGATAGAATAGTTGTGTTTTCCTTTGTGCTATATATTATGATAAATACACAATTTTACAGTTTTGTCATATTCATCCATGCATCACCGAAAACACTGTCACTGGTTTTGTACTCACCGCCTGTTAGGAAACACTGTCCTGGAAGTAAATACACTATAACTAAGGGTGGATTTCTCATTAGCCTATTTTCACAAGACTAGTCTTTCCTTGGTTTTAGGCCACCAACCTCCCCTGGGCTCTTACCCCTTTAAAACTATTCAGCAGGATAAAGTGAAAACAGGAATATCAGTACTTTAGTAGAATCTCAGGAGTGTAAAGTTGCAAAGGTGAAACTTGGGCAGTTGGGGTAAAGTAAGCCTAAGGCTACAGATAACTCCACTGTGGACAATTCCTGAGGACTTGACAGGAGGAGAACTGACTTATGGCTTCCCTGAAGCAAGAGGAAATGTGCAGACTGTGTACGTCCCTCCCAGGTTAAAGTGAGTAAGATGGCAGAGGGAATCCAAGGTTTGCTCTGGAGATCCGAAACCAGAGTTAGCATGGTTTTGAGCCTTCCAAGGATTTTGAAGATCAGATGCTCAAAGGAGGAAAAATAAAGAACAACAACAAAACATTGAAGCTGAGATGGATTTAACTCTATCAAAGCCAATTTAGACTCCAACCATTGCAGTTCTGTGGAACTGATTCAGTTATCCTTTATGTTAAATTACTTATATATTTATTTATTTGAGAAGATGTCTTACTCTTTCACTCAGGCTGGAGTGCAGTGGCCGGATTTCAGCTCACTGCAACCTCCACCTGCCTTGTTCGAGCAATTCCCCTGCCTCAGCCTCCGGAGTAGTCGGGATTACAGGCGCACGACACCATGCTCGGCTAATTTTATTTTTTTTGTATTTTTAATAGAGACAGGGTTTCACCATGTTGGGCAGAGTGGTCTCGAATATGTTAAATTATTTTTAGGTATTCTTTAAGATTCCCATGAAGAAAAATCCAGGAAAGGAAGATGTTACATTCTCATGAAACTGCTCTAATTTCCCTATGTCGGTTACTATTCTGTTTCCCCATTCTGAGAAGAGTAACCAAACCCTGACAGCAAAATAATGCTCTCCTGGATTTTTCATTTAGATGGCAAGGAAGTAGCCTGAGGGAGTAGGGGCCTTAAGAGATACTTGATTCAGAAACTGGAGCCAAATCCAAGACTAGTGTCCTGGAAGAGATATAGCATGCTTAACCGGGGACTGAGTGGAATGAGAACGGCAGAGAAATTCCCTGTGAAAGGTTTAAGATGAGGAAAGTCCTGAAGTTCCTAGAAGCTGGTATGCAAATTTGAGATTTAAACGAGGATGAAATGCAGTATGGTACAATGGTAAATTGCATGGGCTCTGATTCAAAACTGTTTGGATTTTTAATTGGAAGTCCTTCATTCACTAGGTTTGTGACCTTGAAGAGTTTAATTAATATCCTTAACCTCAATATTCTCATCCTCAAAATGGAGATAATTAAATTCCCTAATTCCTAGGGTTCTCTCCATCAAGTGCAGCCATCCACAGTGGATATGTTAGCTCTTTAAAAATCAGTATATTTCTATTAGATATGTAATCCATATGGTAGTATTCTTACCACACTGTCTGGTCTGCAGAGTCAAAAGGTCATGAATAGAAAATTGCCTGGAAGCAATAGATATATGAGACCCTTCATAAATTAAAGATTATGAAATATCTTTTGGAATATCAATTGTTTATCATTATTACAAATGACAGTACTTAATGGGAAGTGAAGAGGAAAACACAAATACAGTAGTTCACATATGGTTCCCATTAGTTGGAACAGCTATTGGTGTTTATAAAGACAACTTCACTCACCCATCAGAAACAGAATGTTACTGGATTAATTTTTTAGTTAGCAGTGATAGACAGGTTTGGAGTTTTTCATTTGCCTCTATTTTTAAGGGGCAGTTATTTTGTCTGCGTCTGCCCAGAGTTGGTGGTATTATGAAAGACAGCAGCTAGTTTGAATCCTCCCAACATCATGTTTTCTACCTACCTGGGTTAACTTGCACTAGATACTGTAACAACAGCCTTTGTTACCTTACAGGCAAACCCTGAGACCAAATGATTAATTTTCTTTTTTTTTCCATCCTTACATGAGAGTTCATAAAGAACTGAGGTACATTGTTGCTCCTTTTGCCCTGCTTTAGCTAGTGAGGACATTTAAAAAATCAGAATTATTTTAGCATTGTTGCATTGGAAACTATAGTGGGTTAAATAGTGTCCCAATGCATGTCCACCCAGAAACTCAGAATGTGATCTTTTTTTGGAAATAGGGTATTTGTAGTTGTAGTTAGTGAAGATCAGGTCATAGTGGATTATGGCAAGCCCTAATGACTAGTGTCCTTGTAAGAAGAGAAGAGGACACACAGATGCACAGACACTGAGGAATCAGAGAGAGAAGAAAGTGACAGAGCCAGATGATGGAGCGGAGCATACACAAACCTAGGAATGCCAAGCATTGCTAGGAGCCAGCAGGCACTGGGAAGAGGCAAGGAAAGATTCTTCCCTAGAGCCTTCAGAGGTAGCATGGATCTAGAAATACCTTGGTTTTGGACTTCCAGCGTCCAGGACTTTGAGAGAATTACTCTTGTGGTAATCTACCAAATTCATGGTAATTTGTTGCAACAGCCCTAGAAAACTAATAGAGAATCATTTTCCCTTATTCCAGCATTTCGCAGGTAAGGAATGAAAAATACAGCCAAGCAATGTAACTTGTCAACTAGCAGTTAAAATAGATTCAAAGCATTTGTTGTAATCTAGGTCTTGTGACTTCCCTATAAAACTTACTGGTTCTCAAATATCTATCAAATGCATTTAACTCCCTTGAGAAAAACTGAAGTCCTGTGTTTTGTTGTTTTTTTCCTTTAACACATTTTGTTTCATTGTATCAAAGTGTTTCTTCTTTCCATATTATGCCTGTAATTGCTATGCACCTATTATTATTTTAAAACCCTTTGTTCATTTTCCTTTATGCATATGCCATTAGAGTTACTGAAAACTTCAAAATATTTGTTAACATTGAAATCCTTTCCATTTCCCCCAGCTATGCTCTGTCAACCCTAATACTTCACTATTTTGTCATTGTACACCTTCTACAAGGGCAACTTCACAAGATAAGGAATAGTCTTAAAAGAGAACTGCTTCAATCTTAAAACTTATCTCTGTTTAAAAATTCTGTTTGATGACAAAGAGATTCTTAGAACATTACCCTCAGTCCCTCAGTAATCTCATTTTTAAGGGGCCAAGGTTGTTTGTTACTGCATTTGCAAATTAGGAATAAATTGTTTTTTATTTGCTTCACAGTTTTTATTTAAGGGACAAAGCAATAAATCTTTAAGTAATGAAAAATACATGTAAAAAATGTTGTCAAGGTAATTGAGTTATGCTGAGCCATAAGTATGCATTCTGACAGTAATTTAGTGGTATCCTTTCAGAGAGGCCCCAGGAATGGAAGTTCCAGGAAATAGTAACATATGTTATTTGGGTGGTAGGAGTTTGCCTTAGGTAAGTCGCCAGACACTCTGGTGACACTAATCAGGAAAATACAAAGGCAGGCTGGTTTCATGTGTAAATGTACATTGTCTTTTGGGGAAATGTGTTGTATTTCCATAATCAGAGTGAGCAATGGTGCTAACATATCGAAAAGATAATATTTAACTCTATAGTTTTTTTGGCTTATATGAAAAGTAGTGTCATCTTTATACTTACATTGTCTTACTGTTCATGGAATCTCTGATGAATCTTCTAAAACCACTACCATGAATTTCCTGAAATCTTTTATTTTTATTATGTTATCTGAAATATCACTCACAAAGAATAATTTCTTTCATTTCTAAACATTCTAACATACATCAGCAAAGGAAAGGAAGAGAAGGAGTCAATGAGCAAAATATCTGAAAGAGAAAAGCAAATACATTTAGGTGTAGCTACTTAAACAGCCGGTGTCTTCTGAACATCAGTGAAATCTGTTTTTCCTAAGTTCACCAAAAGATTCCCAGAAAATCTAAATTAACAGCAACTATCCCTGTAGTAGTATTTTAGGGCTGCCGTAACAAAGTACCACAAACTGGGCAACTTAAGACAACAGAAATGTAGTTTTTCAAATTCTGGAGGTCAGAAGTCCAAAATTTTAGTGTCGGCAAGGTTGATTGCTTCTGGAAGCTCTGCAGGAAAATCTATTCGATGCCTCTATCCTAGCTTCTGATGTCTGCCAGCCATCCCTGGTGTTTTTAGACTTGTTGATGGAACACTCCAATCTCTGCCCCCATCTTTAAGTGGCTTTCCTTGCTGGAGGTCTGTATCTCCAATCTCCTTCTCCTTTCTTTTATAAGAACACCAGTCATTGGCCTTAGGGAACCCCTAAATCCAGAATATTCTCAACTTGAGATCCTTAATTATGCCTAATAATATTCAACAGGGCACAATGAAACAAATGAAATTCAGGATACCTTGTTTACTTTAGGATATTATATTAAAAGTGAGAATGCACAACTTTTTATTTTATATTAAGGATAAGACATATGTCTCTCTCTTTGTCACTATTTTAAATTGAGTACCCACACCACAACGCAAGTAGGCTAAAGAGTTGACGTAGTGTCTAACATTCAAAGATTCATGTGGGCATCCAACTGAAAGTTCATCCCCCTAATGCGTAAATAGAAATCTCTGGATAGCTTTCACCACATTTAGTTTGCTTTTCAGGATTGAAGAGGGAGCCTCAGCTGCCCATTCTGCTATTCATTAAAAATAAATGGCTCTCATAAAGAATATTAATTATAATAAACTTTTCCATTTAATAAAACTCAACCTTTCAAAATGGGACTTTGGGTGACATTGGAGAGCAGAGGTGAAGGGCATATCAGAGTGAGCAGCCTGTAACTCCAATGCTTCATTGAGAGCAGATGGTGCTCAGAATCAGTCCACTTATGATCACTCCATAATAAAGATTACAGTTGCATGTCCCCATTGAGAGGTGTGCTCGGCAGGCTGCCAAAGCTCTGAAACAAGTTCTCGGCCCATCTTGTTCTGTGTTAGATTTTTTTCCTCTCCATTTATCTAAATCATTTCATATTTCTACTAATAAATCTGTCCATTAAAAAGTTAAATTTTTTAAAAAGCACTAGTTTTATGTAGTCATTATTTTTACATGAGGTTATTAACAGTGACAAGAATTTTTTTTATTGTTCCAGATCTTAACCTTACAATAATATTTTGAGTTATACACATGTTTGAACTACAGTCTGTTTCCAAGGTATATGAAGTTGATAATTAGACAATGAATACAGGCTTTTTTTTTTTTCTTTCTGTGAGGTTGGCCTTGTAAGTAAAGAAATGTGGGTGTTATAACAAGGTAGCAGCTGTAACTGAAATTCTAATGCACAGCAGGGAGTCTGATACAAAGCACTTTCATTCTTCTCATGAGTTGGCTGGAAGCCATTCTTTCCAGGGGATAAAGTAGAACATTGTTCCAATACATGACCACTTGTGAGTTTCCATGGGCAGCCCACACAAGACCTTGGGATGATTATACAGACACAAAAAGCAACCAGCAGACACTTTTTGATGCAGTTTGTGTAAACCTAAACTCTTCAAAGCATGCAGGTGACTATGAAGTCAAAATAATACATTTTTGAGGAATCACTTTAAACCAGTGATACAATTAACACTGAGAGAGGCTAATTTGTTTCTCCATCCTAGTATGTGAAATGCTACATAGAGATAGGTGTAACAGGCCTATCTGAGAAGCCTATACCCATTTACACAACAACCCATCTCTTGTCTATGACTAGATTTTCTCATTTTCACTAAGCATCATTTTTATCAACATTTTTTGTTAAAGTATAATAAATATGCAGAAAAGTGCATGGCATAAATTATAAAAGGAGAGCTGGATGGGTTTTGTCAAACTGATCACATTCATAGAACCCACACAGGTCATAAAACAAGGTTACTAGAATTTCCCTCCTTCTCTATGTCCCCTTTTAATCACTATCTCCTTCAAAAGTAACAGCTTTGCTGATGTTTAACTTCATAAAACTTTGTCCACTTTATATCCATAGAATCATACAGTATACAGTCTTGTTTCTGGCTTCTTTCATTTCGCACTATGTTTATGAGATTTATATGTATTTTCTGTGAGGTCATAATTGTTATTGACAATAGTATTCTGTTGTGAAAATATGGCACATTTTATCAGCTTTACTGATGATAGATTTTGTTTTTATTTTGAGGCAATTACAAATAGCGTTTCCAAGAACATTCTAGAACGCATGTTTTGGTGACTGTACACTTTTCTGTTGAGTATGAATATCTTAGAGTAGAACAATGTTTCCTGAATTTCTGTTCACCTTTTGTAGAAACTAGGTGTAACTTCAATACGATTTCTTTTCCTGCCTGTATTTCTATGAATATATAATATTTATTCTTATTGATCCTTTTTCTTGGAGAGCTGATACTTTTCGTGTCGAAACCTCACATTGCCATTCACAAGGATGATTGCCCCAAGAGTTATTGGGTAGATTAATTGTAATGTTTCCACTGCATATTGATTATTAAAAGTTATGATGCTCTTTTTACCCCCTTAATTACTCTCAAATAATTTCCTTCCCTGTTATCCCGTGATCATGCCTTTAGTTTAGACTCTTATTTCTTACCTATACTACTCATTGTCTACTTAACTGGTTCAACTGTGTTTTTCCACTGACACCCCCAGCAAATGCTCACTAACACTCTCCCACTGTGGGTTTGATGGTCAACATCAAATAAATCTGCCCCATGTCTATATAAGAACTAGCTTTATTAAAATTGAGTCATTATTTTATTGTTTTAAAATCTTCAATATTATGTCACATTCAAAATATTTTTTCCACTAAACTCTGGCTTTCATAAGTATTCATAATCTGTCGATCTCTTGTTCCAACATAGTCATACTTTCTAGGATTTAGCTTACTCCCTTATACCTTCCTCCCTTTAACACTGTTCTTTATCTCATGGGTTGGCATGGATTGGGTATAGCAGATATTGACAACTATATATATATTTTTTTGAGATGGAGTCTCGCTCTGTTGCCCAGGCTGGAGTGCAGTGGCGCGATCTCAGCTCAGGGCAACCTCTGCCTCCCAGGTTCAACTGATTCTTCTGCCTCAGCCTCCTGAGTAGCTGAGACAGCAGATGCGAGCCACAACGCCCGGCTAGTTTTTGTATTTTTAGTAGAGATGGAGTTTCACCATATTGGCCAGGCTGGTCTCAAGCTCCTGACCTCGTGATCTGCCCGCCTCGGCCTCCCAAAGTGCTGGGATTACAGGCATGAGCCACTGTGCTTGGCCCATTCTATCTTTTAAAATAATTTACAGTTTGTATGTTTTAATATTACTAGTATGATATCATAAAATTGTTTTGTTTTCACTGTCTAGTCTATGGACAAAGACGATATTCATTTTAGACCTCAAGTACCTTACATAGTCTTTGACACCTGGTACATGCTCATAGATTAAGCTGGAAAAAATGTAGATACTTGCCTTTTTTGTGCTTCTCTTCTCAAGCATTTGGACTTGAGTTTGTTGTTTCTTATTTTCCCTTATTATAAATGTTATGTACTTTCAACTCAGCTGCTGAAGTTCAAAATAAAATTCTTAGCCAGAATTGATTCTTGATGATTGCTCCTGTTACCTCACATTAACTATGGTGTACTTTTGCTGTTGAAGCCAACTAAGGTGGAAGTACTGTCCTGAGCAGGAGAATGAGACAGTAACTAGGTTTTCAGCGGGCACAAAGTTGTTTATGCAATATTCTAATTCTCCAAATGTCAGAGTTTAGTCAAGGTAGAAAATACCAGCTCCATATTATTGATCAAAATCTTTACAAAAATGCAAGGTCTCCCTTCTACAAGCTGGTCGGTGACCTCACCTCCCTCCAGGCTGATTGCCAATGCATGGCACTTTGCTGACTCTGCAGAGAGGCCTCTAGAAGGCTTATGTAACTGCAAAAAAAAAAAATGTTTCTATTGTAGATGTGCATTTTCAAAATGCTTATCATCAAGTCATATGCCATGTTCATTTCCTTCAGCTTTCTTTTTACTTTTCAAAAACTGAGCAGCACATGTATCAAATGTGTTAAATTGATGATTTCACTTGCTGTTATAAAGTACCTGTAGTGCTTATCCCATCAAGCCCCAGGGCCTGAATTTACTTCACAGGATTGTAAGTGCTGGAGGTTTAACTGGTGCATGTGAAAAGTGTTTGTCTTAAACTTTAAAAATCCAGAACTCCTGTTCTTTTCTGTAGCTATCAATCCTAAATTACAACTTCAGTTTTATGACACTGAGAAGGGGCTGTTGTAAAATGCAATTGTTGTACAGGTTTTATCCTTTCTACAATGAAAAGGAAAAATGTGTGTACTAACCTTCAATAAACATTTAGAAGATTACATTGAAGGCCCTCCAGATCAGGTAGATATCTGTCAGAAGTATTGCTGAGTCCATAACCTATGGGAGAGAACTAATATGACTGGCACACTTTGTTTCTTGGTTTCAAAATCCAAGTAAAGGTTTCTTACAAAAGACAAATACATGACTGCGAATGTAAAGAAAGCACAAAGAAGTTTCTGACACACAGTACAAAGATATAAGAAGTAAAATAAGATATGTTATATTCACATTATGATTAAGCAAATCTATATATCATCTATACGCAAGCATTTGAAATCCAAGGCTTCACAAAACACATTTGATTCTTGTGTAGAGCGCAAGGAAATGTTCACTGGCCAAGGCTACAACTCACGTTCCGTTTGTGATCTCTTTGTCGTTTATTTGAAAGGCTTAACTTCTTCCTTAGAACTATATAAACATACCACACCAACAAGTAAAGGAGGAATAGAGTCCTGCCCAAATGGACAGATAAACTACTAATTGTGGGTATGGACCCTGCAGAATCTTATTGGTGGGCTTAGTAGCGAATTACAAAGTCCTGCCAGGTCCAGGGCAAGGCATCTGTGTTGCTGTCCATGGTACTGAATGGTATCTTACTAGTTAACAATGCAATTTTTATTCTCACAACTTTGGCCGGTGAGAGCCATCTACCCAACATCTCCAGAATTAAGAACCAAATGAATAAAGAAGTGGTAGAAGTATGGAAGTGAGAAAAGAGACAAATGTGTAAAAAAAAAAAAAAGACAGATAAATGTGTAAAACCATTGGAAAAGAAACAAATGTGTAAAAAAAAAGATAAATGTGTAAAACCATTGGAAACGACAACTTCTGAGAACAGAAAAAGACAGAACATTTTTCTTTTAAAGTGATACTCAAACATTCAGTCTCATGGAAACAAACTACCATTATCTTTAGCCACCTGAGGGGTGGCTGAAGAAGGACAAGAAAGAGGGTAATAAACAATGCAATTTTTTAAAATATCAGCGAGGAAACCAGTTCTAGGGTGCAGAAAAAAATACGTTTTCTCCAGGCATACAGATACTGAATTGCCAGTTAAATATTCATAGTTTTTTTGTTGTTGTTGAAAGCATGTCTTCAATTGTTATACTGTAATGTATGACAATTGAAAATATGCTTTCATATTTTCAATTTCAAAACTTTATATAGTCCAATTATATAATATATAATATACATTATTATAAAATATTATAAATTATATAATTTATAAATGATATGTTATGTTACCATATAATTTATAAATTATAGAAGTCATAATTTATAAAAATATATATTATTATAAAATATATAATATATAGTATATACATATTATATATATTCCAAAATAGGCACAGTATTTAATTTCATGTGCCTTTTATAGTTTCATCATATTTCTCATTGTTACAGGTATTCTTCTGCCTCTGGTAATTTTAATTAACAAACTCATCTCTATTAACAATTTGCTTATGTTTCTGGAGCATATAAGCCTGACTAATATTCAGAATTATCATTAAAACTCAAGGAGAGATTGGGTAAAATTATTCCTTTGGGCTCTATAACTTTTACTTTGCAAAAGAACAATGTAAAGAAATCAGAATAAAATGTTTACGGTTATTGATTTCTGGATATTTGAAATGATTTGTGATACAGTTTGAATAACTAGAGGATTGTTTGACAAGAGTTTCCTATTTGTAAAGTGAGTCAATTCATCCCTTTTCTCTTTAAATCTAGTCTCTTCAGGCCTGTGTGGAGCATGTTGTATGATTTAGAGTTCGGGAAAAAATAGAAGTACCTCATTGTTTGAAGCAGCTGTTTCTGAAATATTTTTACCTTTGTATGTTGAAAGACAGCTCTAGTAATATTTCTGGGTTTGGTGCTGCACTTTATACTTGTAAGTGTTATTTCTATTTCACATACATTATCTCACTGAGTGCTCCCAGCTAGATTGCAAATTAATTAATTCAATTTGCTTACCATTGAACAAATAACAAAATTGAAATTCAGAAAAATGAAATGACTTGCTCAGGGTCACTTAACTAATTCTTGACAGATCTGAAATTAACTCAACCAAGTCCGGTGTTTGCTTTACAATTACAGAAGAACAAGACTTTCTTTATTGTTTCACACACATGAAAATGAAATGGACTGTCTTGTCTAGCTTACAGGATGGAAATTAACAACTTTAAGGGTTACCAAAAGAGCTTCATTACAGTTACCAGGTTTTCTTATAAGGCAGTTTTAAGAAGCAGTTGTCTCAGTTGTTATGAGTTAGCACCCCTTTATCTATGATTTCCAATACTCTTCAAGAAACAAGGTATATTTATTAAAATGATCTAAGCCCTGTTCTCTGCTTTTTATTTTCTTTTGTTTTCCATTTTTTATGACCATAAACAAATAAGAAAAATGCTTCTTTATTTAGTAGCACTTATTACATATGTAGAACATATCCACATCAAGCTACATGATTATTGTAGGGCATTCTAATGATTACATAAAATAAATAATCATAATTTTCTCAATTTTTTTTTAAATAAAGTCTCTGAATCTCAGATAAGTTCAAAAGTTTCTGAAGTTTACAGAGGTCACAAATAACTAAAGCAGAACTACAATTTGGATGCGTGAAGTGTAGGCTCGTAACTTTACTCCCTGGCTCTTTTATAGCAATGATTCTCAAATGGAGAGAGGAGAATTTTGCCTTGCAAGGGACATTTGGCAATATCTGGAGACATTTGTCGTCTTTGAAACCAGGAGTACAGTGCTACTGGCAACTAGTCAATAGAGGCCAGGGATGCTGCCAGTAATCCTAGAATACATAGGCCAGCCCCTCACAACATAGAATAATCTGACCCAGAGTACCAATAGTGTCCGGTTTGAAAAATCCTGCCTTAAAAAAAAAAAAAAAAAAACTGTCAATATTCTCTTTCTTTTCTGTGTTCCCTACGTGTACTAAAAAGTACAATACTGATTTAAGGGTGGCAAATTATTTAAACCCAATCAACTACAGACCAAAAATAATAACTAGCAAAATTAGAAGCACTAGAAAAAGAATTACAATTATGATTTCCAATTCTCCTACTAAATAATATGTTCTACTTGGACAAGCCACTTCACCATTTGCACCTTAGTTTTCTCTGGTGTGAAACAAAGATAATAATTCCTACCTTACATAATTTTTGATAAGATTATAAATTATTTGTCTTATTATTATTTATTCTCTCTCCCTTCCAAGCCTTTCTCTCACTTCTTTCTCTTGTAACATATGGTCCACAAGGCATTTCCTATATGCCCAAGGTACTTCATTTTGGTGATCTACAGACTTGGCTCATTCTTTGGACTTTGATGACCTGTCTCATAAATCACCTTTTTTTTTTTTTTTTGCGATGGAGTCTTGCTCTGTAACCCAGGCCAGAGTGCAGAGGTGTGATCTCGGCTCACTGCAAGCTCCGCCTCCTGGGCTCATGCCATTCTCCTGCCTCAGCCTCCCGAGTAGCTGGGATTACAGGCACCTGCCACCACGCCTGGCTAATTATTCATATTTTTAGTAGAGACGGGGTTTCACCATGTTAGCCAGGATGGTCTCGATCTTCTGCCCTCATGATCCACCTGCCTTGGCCTCCCAAAGTACTGGGATTACAGGTATGAGCCACCACACCCAGCCAGTAAGTCACCTTTTACTGGTAGATGCACACGCACCAATAGAGGCCTGCCTCTTTCCGTTGGTGCCTGGTTTTCAGAACTTCACAAGGATCCCCTTGGTTGAGTAGCCTAATTGACAGAAATTATGATTTATTGGTTCACTTTACCCATGTTTGTCTCCCTCATAATTAGAATGAGCTTAGGGTGTGTCACACGGTCTTCAGTAAAGTCCAAAAAGGAGACAGCAACAATGTACAGGGAAGAGAATAGATCTTGTAATAAGTTAGACCTGGGTTCAATCATATTTGCAAATCTTTTAGTTATTTATGTCTATATCTCCCTTAATGTTTCTGAGTCACAGTTATCTTTCATAAAATAGGGCTGTCTTAGGAATGAAAACAAGTAATACGTGTAACATACTCCTATTATATGCTTAACAAATGGTAGCTAATTATTTATTGAAATGTGTATCATGTATATGCATCCTGCTTCAGTCATGAATTCTAACTATGCCAACAGCAAAGTCACTCAAAGTCAACCCCATTTCATTAAACAAAAAACTTATAAGCAGTTTCCGAGATATCTTTGTACTTAGCTTTGTTTTTTTTTTCGTTATTGTTTTTTGTTTTTTGTTTTTTGTTTTGTTTTGAGATGGAGTTTTGCTCTGTTGCCCAGGCTGGAGTGCAGTGGAGCAATCTCGGCTCACTGCAACCTCCAACCCCCAGGTTCAAGTGATTTTCCTCCCTCACCCTCCTGAGTAGCTGGGATTATAGGCGCCCGCCACTACGCCTGGCTAATTTTTTTTTGTATTTTTAGTTGAGACGGGGTTTCATCATGTTGGCCAGGCTGGTCTCGAACTCCCAACTTCAGGTGATCCACCCGCCTCAACCTCCCAAAGTGCTGGGATTACAGGCGTGAGCCACCACGCCTGGCCTATACTTACCTTTGTATGCCCAACCTTTTTATCCTGAAACCCTCAAAGTAATATGAAGTTATCATTTGACAGAGCATTTGTTCTGTTTCAACAAAATCTTAACTTACATCTGGCTATTGCAATCTAAAATTCAGTAGTTTACTTTGATGCTATGGCATCACTATTCTTTTCAGTAGCTCTGATTCTCTGGGGCTTTGAAGTGATGAACATTTAGCAGATTTTAGTGATGTGACCATTAGGAAAAATTAGGCTTCTTCTGAAGAATGGAGACATAAGAAAAGTCCTTCTCTCATTTCAAAGCCACCTTCCAGTGATTTCTTTCCCTAACTTCCTTCATCAAAATCTGTTTTCCATGAGTGTGTGTGGGGAGACATTATCAGTGGAAATGAGAGAAATAAGTTTGCCTCTATGAACTTTATTCTTAATTCAACAATATTTGTCCTGAGGGACACTACCTTCTTCAATGCCTTAAGGATTACACTGAGTATCTTCACCGTTGAACCCAGCATGGAGAGATCAGATGAAAAGTGCAATGACATGGACACTACATATTCTAGAGAACAAGGGAAGACAAAATATCTCATTATGGAGATACTCTAAAATATGTCCATGTAATTCTTTAATACATAAGGTAGTACAGCAGTCTAAAATATGAGGGAGAAATATTAATTAGAACAGCTTTGAATTCACACATTTACTGCTTTAGAGTGGAGAAGAAGCCATTCACAATTCTAAATTGTTATTCCTTGCTTTAAACCACCCAAACATTTGTGGAATTTGGCATGCTCAGTTCATCAGATCTCCAGCTCCAGATACTATTCCTTTGTTCATCCCTTTATTGATGTGTTCATTCAGTATACATTTATTGAACAGTTAGGGACTTTGGTACAATATTTTTTTAAATAATCATGTGAATATGAAGTTCAAAATTTAGTGAGGAAGTCATAAAAACAAATACATGAAATATGAATGATTGTATTGGTATGAAGGAAACAGAGTGTAAAATAAGGTAATAGGAACATACTTTAAATAGATCAGTGGACTCCACTGGAGAGGTGATAATTATACTGGAATGTGTGTATATGTGTTAAGATGGGATGTAGAGAAAGAAAGTAGAAGATCATTTCAAATTAAGCAATAGCATTTGAAAATTTCAAGCCATCAGTGGGCGTGGTGGCTCATGCCTGTAATGCCAGCATTTTGGAAGGCCAAGGCGGGCGGATCACGAGGTCAGGAGATCAAGACCATCCTGGCTAATGGTGAAAGCTCGTCTCTACTAAAAATACAAAAAATTAGCTTGGCTTGGTGGCCACGCACCTGTAGTCCCAGCTACTCGGGAGGCTAAGGCAGGAGAATCACTTGAACCCAGGAGGCAGAGGTTGCAGTGAGCTGAGATTGTGACACTGCATTCCAGCCTGGGTGACAGAGCGAGACTCCATCTCCAAAAAAGAAAAAAAAAAACAAAATTTCAAGCCATCTCCAAGACTGTACTGTGTCCACCATTTCCTCAAAACCTTGCTAGATGCATTGGAGGCAAATATGATGAATTAAGAGCTACCTTTTCATTATACAATGCATTGATGCTACAGTTAATGTACCAAACAATGGCTTGTCTTCTGATGTGATTACTCAATAAAACAATTCTTGGGTGAATTGTAGGCCCTTTGGCCATCAGGTGGGAGGCATTGCTTGAATCTTGTTCTTTATGTAAATAATTCCTCCCAGTTTCCTTCAAACAACTGTACAAAGACAGCTGCCAAATTTACTTAGAGCAATATAAGTATCCAGCATATTTAACATTGCAGCTTATGGAATATCAACTTATTTTAAAACATAAATATAAATGACTATCCTTTATTTAACCCATTGCCCTTTCTTCAAGGAAGAAAAAGGAGACCTCTTTGGAATTTCTTCCTTCATTTCCCAGCTATTTTTTTCACCCTTCTACCTCCCACCTCCCCATCCCTCCACTCTTCGGTTATCTCTTCTCCATACCTTGCCCCACCCTGCTGCACGTTGTACATGTTTCTTATAAAAGTGCTTCTTAATGGGATTACTAGTTGTTCATTTGCTCACCTCTTGACTTTGAGTTCCTTGCAGGCATCTACTATGCCAACTTTGTATTTCTAAAACTTAGTGTGGTATTCACATTAGAATGAAGCTCAGTAAATATTTGCTCAAAAAATGAATATATGAGTAAATGAATGAATGCTAAGCTGGTAGACTTTGGCAAAGGCTTGTAAGAAACCATTCTAAATATCTGATCTCCCAATATTTTAAAAATCAAATCAAATAAAATATCCACATAAAATGTATGGCATATTTAAATTCAAAAACGTAAACATTGACCTCACTTCACACACACAAAAAAGTGTGGTCAAACAAAAATCTTTCCAAGTTGAACTGAAAGTATTGCGCTATAACCCTTCCACTTTTCCTAAATTAAGGATGATCTCTGTAAATTTGCATCCTACAACGGCAGTAGACCTTTTGTGTCTTCATCTGAAGATGAAAAGTGTGGAAGGAACTGAAGAAGTAGGCTGGAAATCTTTATCAAGCTCTTTCATGAAAAGCCCCTAAAGATAGAAAAAAAATGGAAAGGAGAGATGAAATAGGGGGAAAAGGTGGGAAAGGAGGAAGAAAGATGGTCTGCCACAAGGTCATAATTTATTTTGGAGTCCCTTTTTTTCATGCATAGAAATGTTTACATACTCCATAATGTATCAATTTTTCTTTTACTATTTTCCCAAATCTTCAAGTAAAATGGACTTTCTAGGAATATGCAATATTTTTCTTCTGTGGCTTCACACCTCAGGCACCATGACTCATTCCACCTCCTTCCCAGTACTTTGAGAAACATATGTACAAGAATGCAAGCACATGTGTATATTTTTACTAGAAAGTGGACATATCAGAATCTCAAGAAAGTCTTTCCCAGAAAATAAAATGGAAAATAAAGGAAAGACTTACATGGTGATGCCATGAAGCAATAAAAGAGTACAAATATGAAGGGCTCAAGAGCTTAAAAAAAAAAAAAAGGCTTTCTCTTCTATCTGGACACTTCTAGATATTTCCATATATTTGCATTTGGATGTTATATTTTTTCCAAGTGCTGAAATGCAGAGATTAAGAGTATTATCAATGAAGGCTATTTTTCATCATTTTTGATTGCTGTAGGAGAACATACAAGCCTACAGCTGAGATTCATTGAAGCACCGTTCCCTTCCTCAGGGAGCTGTTATTTCAATAAAAACAATGGAATCAGTTAGCATAGGTAATAAAATAATTATAGTAATTTATTTTGGCTATTAAATGTTGCATCCCCTTAGCTAATCATCCACTTCAAGCTATTATTCAAAGTGTTCTGCTCTTTTTGCCTTTAAGTTAAACATCATGAATTTCTACGCACTGATAAATCCAAATCTAATAAATTCCTGATGTGTTTCCTTGTGCTGTGACTACTGACAGCTCTCTCTATCTTGTTAATTCAGTGTTACTCAACATCAGCAAAAGATGTTTACTAATACAATATAAAAGCGAAGAATTATTTGTTACCTAACTTTGTACTGAGTTACAAGTAAATTTAGCCTTCATCATTTTATGACTACAGAGCATGCTATGTTATAAGCAAAGGGAGTATTTGAGAAGGTTTTAATTATGGGTCCTTTGAGAGCTATACTTCCTAAAACGACCCCAATCATCTCCTGCCAACTGTAGTCGGTGAAAGGATACTTTTCAGGATTCAAGGAGCCTAATGTGTATATCACTGTATGACAGTCAGGTTTCCAATTAATTTCAGTTCTATTCAGTTTCACATCAGTTTCATCTTGATAAGATCTAAACCAGTCATATCAAATCATTGGTAAAGTACAGAGTTGTTTTCCTGTATTATAGTTATGTGAATTATTCAGAGAAAAACCATACTGGCATACCTGATTCTCATTTTCAGACTCCAGATCATTAAATAGAAGAAACAGCAGAAATAAGTTTAAATGATTCCCAAGGCGATTGCATACTCAGGGTTTACAACTCAATACATTTTTGTACTACTATCAGGCACTTTAAAGGAAACATTTCTCTTTTAAAACTTCATCCTTCTCAGTTTTCTGAACTCACCAAATAAATCAATACAAGTTTGAATTTAATTTTTAAAAATACAGCTACTGAAAAACCTTATTCTTTAGCATATGTTCTAAAAATAATTTTTAAGCCAAAAATATACCCAAGAACTTTACTATGTATATTTGCATTTTAAATATTGTTTCAAGGTTTCAAGTTTCAGACCACTAAAAATACCTAAAATAACTAATGACATCTTTGGTCCTGAAGTTGTAAAACCAGACATTTCTAGAAATTTGTTTCCAAATGAATAGTTTTTCCTTGATACTCTACTTAGAAAAATATTCTTAAAAATGATTTTAAAAATGATAAAATTCCTATTGAAAAATAGGAATTTTTATTTGAAATTGAATACATATTTATTGGTTTTGACTCCAGTAAAGATCACAGTTATATATAATATACATGTGAACATCTGAAACTTTATTTAGTTAAGTGAAAGAGAAACCTCCACCAGGAGGTAAAATTTTTAAAATACTTTAGGATAGTTCCCTGACGTAATGAGGCTTTTTAATAAACTCATACACACGCTCCCCCCACTCCCAAAATACTCGGTGAATTTGATTCTACTTCCTGAATTGTATTGGTATTTATAGGACTTTACTGCATTTGGTATTATCTGTCATTCATTATAGCAGGAAAAATGTGTCCTGTAAGTTTTGGGTAACAGTACTGAAGCAGACTATTTCCCTGACCCCTTAGTGGGACTTGTGAAGAGGGTGCCTCATTTACTCAGCCCACAGCTCTCAACTCCTCGTGGGAGGGAGCATGCCAGCAAACAAGGTTGGGAACTCAAGTGCATGGGTGCTGGAACTAGCCAGCCACTTTGGCTCCGACCAGAACAAATTCCGCTCACTCAGACCCCCTGTGCTCTACCCCTTCGTGGGAGGGAGCATGCAGGTGGGTGGGTACAGGAGCCGGGGTAAATGCTTTTGGGTGCTGGCAGGAGTAAAATCCATGCAGGGCCCCGTGGCAGCATCTAAGGGGGGTACTCACGACCCCTGAAGCCCCAGAGGGAGTGTTACAGTGCTCTTCTAGCTCTGCTGTCCATGATGGCTTAAATATTAACAGCTTAGTGGACCCTCTGCCTTTTCCTATGAGGCAGTTGCCTTCCACCAGCAAGGGCAAAGGGCAAGTGTGTATGACAGACTTTTTATATCCGCACTCGTGGTTCCCAAGCTCTTGTCTGGTATCCAGGAGAAATGAGGTTGCATGAACAAATTGAAGGATGGTAAAAACAGAGGATTTTATTGCTGATAAAAGTGGCTATTGATGAAAAAGGGATGGGACGGGTAGGTAATCTTCCCCTGAAGTCTGGCCATCTCTGGCTGGATTCTTCCCCGAAGTTACACCATCAAGCTGTCTCTCTGAAGTCAAGTTGCTTCTCTCTGATGTTCAACCACAGTCTCTGATGTCCAGCTGCTTCTCCTCTCTCTGCTGGCTGTGTCTGGGGTTTTTATAGGCACAGGATGGGGTAGGGTAGGGCCATGGGTGGTTTCAGAAAAGGCAACATTTGAGCATGAAAACAGGGATGTAAGTTCTCACTTAGGGCTGAAGTCTCAGGCTTTTTGGCTTGAGGATGGGGCCCTCACTGGGGACCCTCCTTCTTCTTCCCAGAATTTCCCTCCCTCCTGTCCCTCCTGTCCCTATCAGTATTTCTTCAAACTCACAATGCATTTGCAGCTCTGAACATTTGTTCATGTGATGAAAACTAGAACTTTCAGAATATCACTTCACGTTTCTGCAGGGTCTTCTGAAACTTATGTTCATTGCGCTTTTGTTTCAAATAATATTTTAATCAATTTTTTTTAAATAGATGGACTTTGTATGGTAACCAGAGCTGCCTTTGATGAAATATGATTCATGGATGACTTTTTTTCAGGCTTGTACTATTACAGATGAAACCACTGAGTGGAATCCATTCATTAAGGCTGTTGACATGAGAAATGAAGTCAGAGATGGAGACTAAGAAGAGGATCATTATGGCAGCTGTGGTACAGGTTGGGGAGGGTGGCCAGAGAAGGACAAGAGGATAGACACATACATCCATTGTTTAGACATAAAAAAACTCTCCTCCACGTCAGGACCAAAGAGTGAAAATTTTCTTTAGGCACTGCTAATTTTGTGCTCCCCCCAACTTCCTCTTTAAAGAAAAAAAATGTCAATTTCTTCTGATTTCTCTCTCTTTTTTTTTTCCTTTTTTTTTTTTTTTTTTTTTTGTCTCACTGTGTTGCCCAGGCTGGAGTGCAGTGGTGCGATCTAGGCTCACTGCAACCTCCGCCTCCCAGGTTCCAGCAATTCTCACACCTCAGCCACCTGAGTAGCTAGGATTACAGGCAGACACTGCCATGCCTGGCTAATTTGTTGTGTTTTAGTAGAGACAGGGTTTCACCATGTTGCCCAAGCTGGTCTTGAACTCCTGAGCTCAGGCAATCCACCCGCCTGGGCCTCCCAAATTGCTAGGATTACAGGCATAAGCCACCCCGCCTGGCCTCCTCAGGCCCCTCACCCCTTTCTAGATAGCTATGGTAATAGCTATTAACCATGTCAGAAAATATTGTATTGTATTGACAATGGTTTTAAATGAATGATCTTTTCCAACTCGTGAATATATTCTACTAGAAAGGAATACTTTTTAAGGTTTTATGAACTCAGTTACTGAATTAGAATTATTGGAAAAACCTTTAAATTAGCTTCTTTTGTTTAAAAAGTTATGTGTTGAATAGCTTGGAGACAGGAAGTGATTTCACAAAGGAGATATAAATGTATTGTGATGAATTTAAGTAGCACAAATAATACAAAAAGCTTTGCATGTAAATTGACTTTATAAATTAGATACCATAAGCTGGTAATAGAACGTAGTAATACCGATGGACAAATTCCAGTCAACATAAAATTTGAGCTCTTTGAAGATACAGTCAAATCTGTTCTCTTAGAAGTAATAGAAATTTTCTGCCAGTGATGGACTTAACACAGTGGATAACCTTTTCATTAGACAATTATGTGTTTCAGTCCACAGGATATTCAGTATATATTTTTGTTGTACTTTTGCAGATGTCAGTGACCCCATTTCATAAAATTTAACTCATACTGAGGTTTTAAACATCTAAAGAAAACCAATAGATGAGACATTGGAGACTATTATATAGCCACTGAAAATATTTTTTATTCTTTCTTTAAAACATTATTGCACAAAGCTCCACCTAAACATCAAAAAAAAAATCATTGAAAAACCTGGGTGATAATTACCTGTCTTGGATTTTTCAATAAAGCACTTTTGTATCTTTGTAGCATTTGAAGTTCTAATCCACTTGGTACAATACCTTAGGAAAGGAGGCAAAGAATGTAAAAACCACATTAATCCATTGCACAATGTTTTTTAAAAAAGAAAGAAAAAAAGGTATTACTCTAAGTCCGGCTTTATTACCATCACAATCAATAGAAACAAATTTGTAGTCACAGTTCACCTTAAGTGACACTAACTAAAAAGAAAATGGTGTGTAATTAATGTGTAATTAAATTGCAATTTCTAATTAGTTTATTTGGGCTATTAGGAACTTACCATTTAGGCTTTCAAGGGAATCTAGTAGATTTTGTCTGAGTCTGATTTAAAATATGTCTAAATAGTACAGAGAATTCTGTGTTACTTTAGAGTAGACCCCAGAACACTAAGTAAAAATTATAGAGATGGATTCTAAATTAAACTAGAACATTTAAAAGAGGACCTGTCTAAAGGTGAAATGGACAGCCTGCTTATATGAGTGATTTCCCCACCATCAGAGATAAGCAAGAAGAGGTGGGATGCCTTATGTGCTGACCATTTAATAGGTGGGCTGTGGAACGCACAGGTGAAAACTTGAAGTGGGAGACTTCAAGGCTGCTTAAATCATAAACTTCTGTGATGATTGTGTGGTTCCAAAGACTGTCTCAAGGATGTAGGTATTGGACTGAGAGCTCCCAGGCATGTTCTATATAACCTAAATGTTCCTCTCAGGATGCTTGGCTAGAGCTATAAATGAAGATATTTCTGTCTCCACCTCCAACATAAAGTAGCCCATGTGCCTCTTCCCACTATCTTCATGAAAAGATGAGAAAAAAAAGAGGTGATTTTTAAGGAAAACCATTTGTGCTTCATTTTATAAACAGCCTCATTTTAAAAACAGGCCCATTTTATAAACAGGGCATCTTGTAACAGCAGATAGAAGCAGAGGGTTTTCATATTATAAGGGGCTCTTAAGCAAATGTCTCTGACCTGGCCCTGGGTCTTAGGAACAGAGTGTAGCAACTTATCAATATTGCCCTATAATCTTCCAATCAGAGAGCCATGTAGCATTTTAATACTTTAAATATCAGAATTTTATTTCAATTAGTTTATTGATGATGTCTGCACTGAAGATGCAATATGGGCATTCGGTAACAGAAAAGTTCAAAGCCAGGCATTGGTGACAAAGTGACAGCAACCCCCAGATCTCCTAAGGAAGAATAGCACTGCAGTCTTGAGAAGGATTATAGTAGGTGTAAGTATCTCAAGTGAGAGAAGTGTATAAAGAACCCCAGCTTGACCAGTAAAGCATGGCCATCACAAATGGTCACCATCTCCAAGATATTTCAGAAAGCTTCTCTTCAAAGGTGTACCTATTAAGTGTCTTTTGTTTTGAGAAAATTGAGAATACAAAGATGGGTTTTGTTGTTGTTTTGCTTTTGTTTTAGTTTTTTGTTTTATTTTGTTGGTGAGTATGGGGTAGGATTAAAAGAAGAGCTAGAGGCCAGGCACGGTGACTCATGCCTGTAATCCCAGCACTTTTGGGAGGCCGAAGCAGGCAGATCACAAGGTCAGGAGATCGAGACCATCTAGCCAACATGGTGAAACTCTGTCTCTACTAAAAATACAAAAATTAGCTGGGTGTGGTGGCGCGTGCCTGTAGTCCCAGCTACTCGGGAGGCTGAGGCAGAAGAATCACTTGAACCCAGGAGGCAGAGGTTGCAGTGAGCCAAGATCACACCACTGCACTCCCACCTGGCAACAGAGCAAGAATCCGTCTCAAAAAAAAAAAAAAAAAAAAGAAAAGGAAAAAGAAGATGAGCTAGAAAATGCCAAATGATAGAACACTGGAACACACAGGAACCAGGACAACCCACATGCACCTTGAAACCAGGATTTAATGGATTATCACAACAGGGTAACAGTACAGGAAGGAATCTACTCCAAAAATTTCCCTTTTTCATGTTATTCTGCTGGAAATTCACAAGTCCAAGAGACACTGTGTGACTAGTCTTGGGTCTCTTGTTTCTCCTCATATTTATCACTGAGGACAGAGACCTGTGATGTCATGACCCACACCTCTACCTGCAGAGACTCTGAGGCATTCCCCTAGGAGATCTTTATTTTATATTCATTTCCCTTCTTTAAGGGAAACGAATTGTGAGCAGAAAAAAACAAACAACTAGCAAATACATAGGAAACAAAATAAAAACAAAAACTCCTGTCTACCAGGAGGAGCAGGAAAGGATGATTTTAACATTCATTCCACAATTATTGATTGTTTACAGACTGTCTTCCACTGTGCTTACACCAAAACAACCTTTTCTTTCACAAAGCTGTCAATGTGGGATACATTATAAAGAGACCCTTAGCTTTTAATGGTTATTTCTCATTAAGAATACATATTTGTACTAGGGTCTCAGTGTTATTTTTCTCCAATTAAAGCTGTTTCTTCTGTCATTTGGAATTTCTACTTTACAGCAAGTTTTCATGTTTGCAGGATTAGAAATCACAGGAGGCAGAAGGCTTCCATCTCAGTTTCAGCCTCAGCCTCAGCAGGATTTCTCAGGGACCAGTGCAGGATGGACAATAAATTCACACCCACATGTAATCACAATAACATCATGGCAGATACTGGAATAGCTGCAATCCAAAGTTTTCTATTCTTGGTCATGGTCCTTTATTTGTAAGAAATAAAAGGACAGGACAAGTTATGGTGCTAGAAACAAAACATATTCAAATCAGATTAGGCACAAAATGGGAAATTATTGGAAGGCTACAAAAGTATCTCATGGTAACTTGGGTCAAGAACTCAGCCGAGTTTCCTGGTGGACAAACTGGGGACTGGAGAATGCAAATCGCCACCATCTTACATCCAGGCATAATTGTTCCCTAATTGGGTCTTAGATCAAAAGACACTTCCATAAGAGCTCTTCTGTTTTCTCTATTATAAACCAAAATACCACTTGCCTCCCACTGCAACACTCCCTATCTGTCTTCCCTATTTTATTTTTCTCCAAAAATCTACGTTGGCCATGATAGGTTAGGTTATGCATAGGAAGAAATAAGCTCCAATATTTTAAGTGCTTGTAACAGCAAAAGTTTGTTTCTCACTCACACTATATGTCTATCACATGTCTATCAAAGCTCACTGCCCTTCAGCTCCATGTGGATATACACACACACGTGTGTGTGTGTGTGTCTGTGTGTAAAGTCAAGTTAAAAACTGTAGCATTTGTAGGTGAATGTTGACTAGGACACTTTCAGTTATTCAGGAGTTGTGACTGAGGACAGAATCTGAACTGGAACTCTAAGATTTGTGTACTTTGTGTATTTAAAAAATGTTGCTAAAGAGCCTATAACCCATGGTGTCAGAAAACTCAGGATTAATCAAACTAAACATAACTTGTACTTTTCCAGTCCCTGCCAGCCCCTTCCTTACCCTCAGCAGATATAGAAAGTGAATAGGACAGAAGTTGAACACCTGAGTCATAGGGCTTGTTGGGAGTGAAAGATTGATGGTGAGATATTTTCCTCTTCTCTCCAGAGGGTGTTTTTCCCTTAAAAAGCCAAGTAGATTTGTGCTTGGGGTGTGGGAAGGGTGACTCTAGGTAAATGGCTCATAATGACTGGAGGTACAAATGAGAAGGAGAAACTAACATTCCTTCTGTTCCCTGGTTGGATGTCTGCTTAGAAATTTGCCTGCTGGGCCGGGTGTGGTGGCTCACGCCTGTAATCCCAGCACTTTGGGAGACTGAGGCAGACGGATCACGAGCTCAGGAGTTCAAGACCTGCCTGGTCAACATGGTGAAACCCCATTTCTACTAAAGATACAAAAATTAGCTGGGCATGGTGGCACGTGCCTGTAATCCCAGCTACTCAGGAGGCTGAGGCAAAAGAATTGCTTGAACTGGGACCCAGGAGGCAGAGGTTGCAGTGAGCCGAAATCATGCCACTGCACTCCAGCTTGGGCTACAGAGTGAGACTCCTTCTCAAAAAACAAAAGAAAATAAATTTGCTTGCTGGTTTGTACCCAGGCCAATCTGAGTGGAGGAAAGATAACTGGTAAGCTATTTCAGGAGCAGTACACTTGAACAGTCAGCATGATGCTATCTTAGCGAGCATGTGACTCTTCAATAGGTCAACTAAACACCAGGGAAGCAGCTGCCTCAGGCCATCGTGTTGGTTCCCCTTCCTGTGTTAGGAGATGGAGGAGTGGAGGGGTGATGATAAAATGGAAGCTCCCGTGTCAAGAGATCAGGCAAATGGGGAGACTCCGTGGGATCCTCTGAAGAATCTACATGCACGTACTTACGAGAATCAGATTAGGGATGCCTACCACACAGGAGTACCAATGTTTAGTATTAGCCCGTAAAATGATGGGGCTACCACCTTAGGAGACAAGAGTTGACTTCTCTTCTTCTCCTCATCCTAACACACTGAAAGCATTTGAGCTTACAAGAAGAAGAACATCAAACTTTGATTTAAATTAGAGATTAAAATTTTAAGTTGGATTGCCCAATGTAGTAGTATCAAAGCTTGTCTAGAATGTTATAAAACTGCATAAGATAGTGTTAAATAACCAGAAAAGGAGACTGGACAGGTAAGAGTTGAAATCAACAATTGGAGAAAAAAAAATCATGTAATTTTATACACCAATGAGTTGCAGATTTCTCAAAAAGCTTGTTACACATGAAACCAAATAATTGCCATTGTTGTGCTCCAAATCTTTTAAAGCTCTTCCATTGTATATAGAAGAGTATTTTCTAAATTACATTCCGTAAATAGGCAGACCATGGGAAAATGTTCCATGCTATGTTAAAACAAGCCATTACATACTGCCTCCCCAATCCAGGAGCACTGGCTGTTTTTTTGTTTTGTTTTTGTTTTTGTTTTTGTTTTTGTTTTTGTTTTTGAGACAGTCTCGTCTCACTCTAACACCAGGCTGGAGTGCAGTGGCACGATCTCAGCTCACTGCAATCTCTGCCTCCTGGTTTCAAGCAATTCTCTGCCTCAGCCTCCCAAGTAGCTGGGATTACAGGCGCCCGCCACCATGCCTGGCTAATTTTTTTGTATATTTAATAGAGACAGGGTTTCACCATCTTGGCCAGGCTGGTCTTGAACTCCTGACCTCATGATCCACCCACCTCAGCCTCCCAAAGTGCTGGGATTACAGACGTGAGCCACCGCGCCCAGCCAAGCACTGGCTTTTTAAAGGCAATGAAAAGTCCTGTGGCTAAAACATCTGCTAACTTTGCTTAATCCAACATTTTTCCAAGTGACCACAGATTCTATTTTGCAATATCGCTATTCATATCCTGCAAAAAATACTGGCTTACTTAGGGAAAGAACCCAGTGCCTAAATTTATAATCTTACCCACATTCCCATACCCTACTCAAATCAGAATATTTCATTCTTCTATGGACATATCTTTTATTTCTATGACTTTGTTTTTATTTTTTTCCTTGGGCATGTTGATTATTTATATTATTTATTTCTGATCAACCACCCCTACTCTTTTTGTCCTATTTTAAGTCCTACCTTGTAATCCATAAAGATTTTGCTGATTGAATTAAGAGTTATTCCTCTGGATACTAACAACCCTTTACAATGCCTTCATTTAACGTACAGACCACCTTTTAGTATTCTTACTGATGTTATTTCTAACACTATTAGTCTAAGTTCACAGAGTGATTACTGTGAATCAGACACTGTGCTCAATTCTGATCAAAACAATCCTATAAAATAAGTAATATTATTATTGTCATCTTACAGATGAGGTAACTGAAACATAAAAAAAAAAAAATAACTAGATCAAGGTCTCACAGCTACTAAATTCAGAGCCAGGACACTTCTCCAAGCACACTGGAATCCAAACCCGTGCTCTGATGCACTGTGATAATTACTATGCCCCTTTTTGCGCACGTCTTTCTCTTCCACTTGATTGTTAGCCCTGAGAGGATGAGGATCATGTTGAGTTCATCTTTATATGCACTCTGTGACTAATAAAGTATGTTCCTGAGACCCATGAATTATGCTTAGAACGAAATCAAACCGGTGTGGCCTCAGCATCGTGAGGTAAGGGGAAGGTATCTCCATGAGAATCATTTGTCTGTAATTTCAAGGCGCCGATTCTTTGCCATCCACCTGTCATTCTCTGCTTTCGAATTCTCCTCCTAGGATATCTCATTATGATGCATCACCTCAGTTCCTCTTAGTTACAACATCTAATGCAACATGACTAGCGCAACATGAGCACATAAGCCCTGGAGAACTGAAGAGCAGGAAGGTTGTTTTCTCCACACTGTAGATTTAAGGGAAGTTATGAAAATATATGTTAAAGGTCAGCAGTGAACCTCCGAGTTAAGAGCCCTGCTGTGGAAGGGTTCCATCCTTCTTCATAGTGAACCAAAGCACTGAATTCCCATGGAAATTGAGTTGAATAAGCCATGCAAGCAGCTCCGTTTATTTTTCTAAGAAAATTGCCTTATTAATGTGCATTATGGAAATAGTGCTCCATGTCAGACCTAACAAGAAGAATTTGGACTGCATGTGCACATGGAAAATTGCCTCCTGTGCTTTTCATCCCAGTGGATCCTGGGGAATTTTCTGAAACTCATTTTCCAGCTCTGCTTGCTTCTTCAACAATCCCTCCCTCTATAAACAATCCCCTCTGAAATGACCTCCCTCCAAAACACCCCAGATGCCAGCCAGACATGGCAACCAGATCAGCAATTCAGTGACCCCAAATAAATGTTTTATGGGGACTGGGTCTCCAGGCTGAGAAGAAATCAACCTAAAATAACAGGAAGCTTTACCACATGGATTGTGGGGACTTGCAGACCTGGGCTTAGATTCTTGCTCTGTCCCTAAGAAGCTGTGTTAGATGAGGGAATTAATACATGCTCTCTAAGCCTCACCATGTAAACAGTATAAAAGTTAATAGTAAAATGTTCCTTTCCCTTCTTAGAAGTATTATGAAATTAAATGAGATAATATTTGTAAAATGTTTAGCAAAATATATGTCTAGCACAAAATTAGCCTCAATAAACAATAGCTAATAGATTGTGATAATAAAATTTTATATTCAAGTTTATGATACTTAACGTGTAATCTGCAGAATATCTTCTTTTGAAAAGACAATGGAGGAAGTTAGCTTAAAGAAGCAGCAGAACAAATGAATTATAATGGGAAAATTTCATACATTGAGGACACCACTGTGAGAATAAGATGTACTTAAACGCTGAGGGAGGAAGTAATTTTTCAGGTTACAGAAAGCAGACATGGAACTACCTACTTGTTCACCCTACATTTCTTACTTACCTTGTCAGTTTCTAAGGCTAGGGTGGATTAGAAATAAAGACTGACATGATGTTGCAAAGGGAAAGAAACATTTCTCCAAAACAACACTGTATTACTACCTTTGGTCTCCTTAAAGCATGCTGGCAGAAACAACCTTGTAAGTTTCAAATTCCCGAGGCTATAGATTTTTACTCTTTCTTGGCAGACTTTGTTTGACCATCTCCTATATGAAAGCAAGAAGTTTATCAATCACTCTTTTGTTTAAAATACACTATAATAATAATCTTTTAAATATCCCAATAGGTTCATTTTAAACATCTGGAAACACAGGCTTTCTCCCAGACGTTCTAAATTTTGAGTCCCTTTTTAAAAAAAGGCTTATACTGATTATGTGTCCTGAAGCTGTAAGGCTGTGATAATCTCCAAAATAATAATAATCTATTATTGCAATGTAGTCCATCTCACATTTAAAATGTAAAGGTATACCTTCGTAAAATCATCATGAAGAAAATTTTAAAAATTCCTTATTAACTTTTGGGATTTATTTTCCCCACTTTCCAATAAAGGATAAATGAGGAGACAGACCGGTAGACATAATGTCATGAAGATGGTATAACAGAAAAAAAACAAAACAAAATGGATAAGGAAAAGGGGCGGAGGGAGTAAAAATTTTTTAGATAAAAATAAATAAACTAAATTGAAGTGTATGGGATATAAAATGGATAAAGCCATCAAGAAAAATGAGAAAAATGATGGGAAAATATAATTGTACCAAATGAATTGCTATTCAAGTATCTGGTGCCTGGTTGTACATGTTTCTAAGGGCAAATTTCCTAAGCCCCCTTTCCTCAAATATTTCACTTGTGCTTATTCAGTAAATCTAACAAAATAAGGATGCTTTTGAGCTATTGATTGGTGCAAATGTGGCTTAATAGCAGAATCATTACTTTTTTAATCTTGGAACTGCCAGCTCTTACTATTTTCAACTGAATTTCGAGTGGTTTGATTACAGCCTGCCATTACTAATTGTTTCTAAATTTCATGGAACATATCTTGTTTAGGAAGTTTTCTTCTTTTGGCAATACTTTTTCTTTTTTTTCTTAAAGTCTCAGTTTTCACAACTTTATCTGCTCAGACTTATGGGCCTCTCTTTTTAGATGTCTTAATCTTGAAGCAGGAAAAGTCAGAACTTGTTTGCTCACTTAGAAAAATGTGGCCTCGTTGACTCCTGAATAAAATATAATTTTGGGTCACCATCCCCATTTGCTCAGTAGCATTAAAGTGATGCATTTCTGTAGGTTTACACGGGCTGGTATCCCTGTCTGTCCTACAGATCTTTACTGGAATTGAGCAGAAAAGGTCAAATAGGGGGTAATATGTCAAAAGGCTGTAATTAAGATTTAGAAAGATTAATACCGATGGTATTTAATGAAATTGGCTTTTAGAGGAATGCTCATCTATTACTTTGATATTTAACATTTTTTCTTATTAAAATGTTAGTGCTGAATAGAAGCACAGAATCAATGACAGAAATATGAGTTTATACAGCCATCAATGAAGGAGGTCAGAACTAATAAACAATCTGAGATTTTCTTGTGTTATTGATGGTAACATTACTTCTCTTTTCCACTTGAGATATATTTTTTTTTCCCAGGGCTTGCAAAAAATTTTTTTATGACAATAAGAAGCAAACTGACATAGCTGTATCACTTCATTGCACTGACGCAGTTTTTTTTTTAATTAGTCGCTTCAGATGTTTATAGCAATCTCAAATACAAGAAGAAAAAAAATCTATCAATTTTTTACAGACGGGTAAATTTTGCCTCTAGAGGGAATACCGTGGTTAAATCCAGCATATCACAATGAAAAAATGCTCTGTAGTCTAAAGTAGATGCTGATGCCTTTTGGTGTTTTGAAGAATGAACTGTTTCAAATTGTAAGAAAATTTCCATTTCAAAAATAGCTACTGAACTATAACAATGACTGCTTTGCATATATTTTTGGTCACAAAAATACCATTGTTATTTTTTACTATGGATATGCAAATGAGATGTTGATAGGATTAAGTTCTGTCACTTTCTGAGACAGTCTTATGCTTCCACTATTGAAGTTTTCCTTTTCCTCCCACTATTTCCTTTACATTTATTTAAAGCCATCAAACTCATTTTACTTTTCATTGTGTTTGAGGTTTCCCTGCCTTCTTTTTTTTGGCTTCTTCCCTAGCGATTTTTTTCCCAAATTCTTTAGATTTGCTCCAGGTGGTGACTTACTTCATCCCATGGCATCTTGTCTTATTTTTAGTTAAGAAAATTTTTCTCCATCTTTTATTTAAAACACAAGAAAAAATTCAATAACTTATCATTTTGACTGATTATTTTCTCATTATATTAGCGAGGTACACTGATGTCACATAGACAGTTGGCATTTGTTTATGGATGAAAACCCTCTGTTGTCAGATTCACAATCTGATGTTTTGGTTAAACATGAATTTTAGGAAGCTCAGGATGGTATAAAATATGTGTGTATGCATGTGTCAGGAACATTTTTTAAAAACTTGGATGGTTAGTAGGATTTAGAAACTCAGAGGCTGTATAGAAACTTTAAGAATTAGTTGTCTTTCACACACAAACACACACACACGCACCAATAATCAGTGTACATATTCTTGTAAACTGACAATACGTATATTCATAATAGAGACTTGAATAACCAGCATTTGAAAAAAAGAATTAGTTGTTTTTTTTTAAGAAAGCCAATTTGAGTGTGAATGGGATAAGTTAAATTTATAAGCAAAGAAGGAGATAACCCATGTCTGAAAATATTGCCATGCTTTCAGTACAATAGATGGTACATTCTTTATATACATGTATACACACACACACACACACACACACACACACACAGATTACTATAGTTCAAAGTAAATATATTTTATATTAACAGCTTTTTCAAATATCTTTTTATAACTATAGTATAAACATCTCTATCCTTAAATTTGTTTTGTCTTAATCCAAATTAAAATTATCATTTAAATAGTTTCTCAAATTCAAATGTTATATGACTATGTACTTAAATCATTAACTGTTGAAGTTGCACTACTCCTGGAAACTATCTTGTATGTTCATTTATCCAAATTCTTTCTTTCGAAATGGATTTGGTGAATGCCTATAAAATTAATATTCATGAAACATATTCTGGTCTAAAAGCTAAAAATTGTAGATTATTTTAAAAGTTAAAGCATATACATACACAATATTTAAATATTAAAATACCTGTGTCTGTCTAAGATATTGTGGCCAATGGAAGCAAATGGTCTTAAACCAAAAATAAAAAACAATGCTTCTAAGAACTGTCCAATTCAACTAAATGTTCATCTGGAAGTTAAGAAATTATGAACATTTATTCTCAATTAACATTTTTTCTGAGTTTGAATATGCATGGACTTTCAAATGATCTTCTATTTTTGCAAAGTAGAGTTCAGAGAGGTTGACAAAGTTATTCTTAATACCCAATATTTTTAGCCTCAAGATACAGATGAAGCACTGTATCATAAGCTCTACAATCTTCTCAGAAATTTCTCCTTGACTTTTCAATATCCATGTCAAATTTTCTGTTGTAATTATAGAGAAAAAAAGAGGAGTTTCTCTCTTTGGATTTAGTCCTCTTTGGAAATTAATGAATTATAGCAAGTGAATAATTTTAAAGCATGCATATACAATGTAATAAAATGCTTTAAAAATTAGAATTTAGTCAAATGACCTATTTTGAAAATTACTGAATTGTAGCGAAATCTTTACAGTTCATATGGGTTATTTTTCTTTCCCTTCTTCCCTTCCTTCTCTCAATTTTTTCTATAAAAGTTTTTAAGTATGGGTCCAGCACATCAGATAGTGGTCTAATCTGGATCAAAGACAGTAGGTAATTTAAGCTGATGTACAAGTGCTCTTGATTTGAAATGAAGTTTACAAATAATTCACTTCTATATGACTTGTGGAAAATCAGGTTACATAAAGTATGTGTGGCATAAAGACTTTATTTTTATTTATTTTTATTTAATTAATTTTTTTTTTTAGACAGAGTCTCGTTCTGTTACCCAGGTTGGAGTGCAGTGGTGGTGCGATCTCAACTCATTGCAACCTCTGCCCCCCGGGTTCAAGCAATTCTCCCACCTCAGCCTCAAGAGTAGCTGGGATTATAGGCAGCCACCACCATGCCCTGCTAATTTTTTTGGATTTTAGTAGAGACAGGGGTTTCACTATGTTGCCCAGGCTGGTCTTGAACTCCTGACCTCAAGAAATCCATCCATCTCAGCCTCCCAAATTGCTGGGATTACAGGCGTAAGCCACCAAGCCTCTAGCCCATAATGACTTTATATTACAAAATACATGTAGTGAAATATAGCTATAGGACATACATATGTATATCTAAAAAAGACATAAGGAGATAAAGATAAAACATACATATAAGTTCTCTGCAGTTGGTTGCATTATTAATAATTTCTTCTCTGAGCTTTACTATATATTTCAAAATTTCTACAATGAATATATGCAATTTTTTTTTTATTAAGAGAAGTAGAAGGAAGGAAGAAAGGAAGGAAGCTGGAGAGAGGGAGGAAGTCAGTCTTTGTAATCTAGCAGGAATGCTTGTGTGAAGCTGAGCAGTTCACTGTTAATTTCCCTGCTTATCAACTGTCCTTTTACTTCTGTATCTGGATTTTGTAAAGAATCAGGAATTTTCAACTATGTAATTATGTGTGCTAAAAAGACAATAAATTGGACTGATCTACCAAAAGAGAGAATAATCAAGTATAAGGGTATGTGTGTGAGTACGTGTGCTCAGAGATGGCTCCATGACATATGTGTTTCTTAATTGATCTAGGTTAATATTAATTATAGTTTGCTTCCTTGAATTCACCAAGTAACTCTGACTGGCAAGAAAGAAAACAGGCCTGGTACCGGGATCTGAGTGTATGGGAAGATAACATGTGATTGATTTTTGGCCAACTCTCCAGGTCTCAGCAAGTAAATAGATATAATTCTGAGAAAATCGCCAGGAAAAGATTATCTGGTACATTCAGGGGAGTAGTCACCATGTATTACACATGCTATATATCTTGCACTCACAAAGAACACTTAGCACACAGAAGTGTGCTTAGCATCAGAATCACGTTTACTGTTTATAAATCTGCAGATTCTTAGAACTCATTCCAAACATATTATTTACACTAACGTTTGAGAAAATTGGGTAATGGTATTATTCGTAAATCTAGATTCTCAAATAGAATTTCAGCAGAATTTCAAAATATGGACTTGGTGACCTAACCTCACCACCCACACCCTCCTACCCCTGCACCTCACTAAATTTCTGGTCTGAGTAGGTTTTCATGTGTGACAGAGTATTTTTTCTCTTCAGTGGAAGAGTAAGCTGGAACAATTGAGATGAACCTGGAAGACATTTTTAAAATTAGACAAGTGTATTGGTTGATCAGCATAATTACATGGGATTTTTATTCTGTCTTAAGCTTCTTATTGAAGCTTAACATACATACAGAGAAGCGCACAAATCATACGTGTAGAGATAACCTTGATAGATTTTGTGAAAATTCTTGGGTGCTGGGATAATCTGGTTCTGGAATGTATTAATCATTACACCTATTCCAGCATCCAAGAAGCCCCCATGTACCCCTTCCTGTATTATCCCCACCTTCTCCCAGAGTCACCACTACCCTGACTTCTAACATCATAGACTATTGTTGTATTATTTTTGGACTTCATATAGTTTTAATGAAACAGAATGAACTTTTTTGTGATTGATGTATTTCACTCAACATTATGTTTAATTCATCTACATTGTTGATGTAGTAGTAGCTGTTTTATTCTCATGGAAGCATTTTTTTTTTTTTTTTGAGACGGAGTCTCGCTCTGTCACCCAGGCTGGGGTGCAGTGGTGCAATTCCAGCTCACTGCAACCTCAGCCCCCTGGGTTCAAGTGATTCTCGTGCCTCAGCCTCCCAAGTAGCTGGATTACACGTGCGTGCCACCACACCAGGCTAATTTTTGCATTTTTAGTAGAGACGGAGTTTCACCATGTTGGCCCAGCTGGTCTCGAACTCCTGACCTCAGGTGATCTGCCTGCCTCAGCCTCCTAAAGTGTTGGGATTACAGGAGTGAGCCACCGTGCCCAGCCCTGGAAACATGTTTTGTTTTGTTTTGTTTTATTTTGTTTTGTTTTGCTACATATGCCACAGTTTGTTTACAAAATGTGGATGAATATTTTCGTAGTTTTCTATTTTAGACTATTTCAAATAATGCCACTGTGAACATTCTAGTGCATGTCTTTTAGTAAACATATGCACACATTTTGGCTGAATATGTACCCAGAAGTAGAATGTATGCAGAAGTAGAATTCCTGGGTCATGGGATACGTGTAGGATGAGCTTTTGCAGACAGTAGAATAGTTTTCCAAAGCTGTTGTACCAAATTTCCCTCTAGCAGTGTGTGTGTGTGTGTGTGTGTGTGTGTGTGTGTTCTATTTGCTCCACCTCTTTGCAAACACTTGCCATTTTTCTTAATCTTTTAAATATTTTTTTAAATTTTTTGGGTACCTGGTAGGTGTATGTATTTGTGGTGTACCTGAGACGTTTTGATACAGGCATATAATGTGAAATTGCATGGGGTATCCATTGCCACAAGCATTTATCCTTTGTGCTACAAACAATCCAGTTATACTCTTACTTATTTTAAAATGTACAATTAAGTTATTATTAACTATAGTCACCCTATTTTGTGATCAAATAGTATGTCTTGTTCATTCTCTCTAATTTATCTTCTTCATTTTAGCCATCCTGGTGGGTATGTAAGTAATATATAATAGTTTTAATTTGTATTTCTCATGGGAAGTTGCTGCAGTTGTTGTTTGTTTGTTCATCTTAAATAGCTATTTCCTGTACTTTACCCTCAGAGATGCTGATTTAATAGCAGAAAGGGTCTTGGAATTTAATATATTTTAAAGCTGTCTAAAGTGATACTGATACTCATTTGGGTATTTGAACCACTGGCCTAAGATACTGAATTTCAAGGACAGAGAAAGGAATGGGTTATTTAATTGATTCACTCAAAACCTTCCCATTGGGATATGAAGATAAGAAACTGACCTTAATGAGGAAAGATTGTTTTTAAACTTGTGTCTAGTATTTTAATGGTCAGATATCTTAAGAGGTTCTACTAAGTTATCCATCAAAGCAGGTTTGTGCCCAAAATACAAATTTTAGTATTTCTGAAATAATTTAAAATGTAGCTTAGGGGATGTGAGTATAATACCAAATTTCACAATTATAAATCTGAGGACATAATCATATAAATTATATAGGTACCTTACATCTACAAGTTCCTGTCATATTTTATTGGGTCCACCAAGATTAAGTTGACAAAGGAAGGGAAATAACCACACCTACAAGCTTTTTATAGTCAGCCTAATATTTGTATATTAATAACAAATAAATTGGTTAATGTTAAGTTATCAAACTCTAAGCTTAGCTGTCAGAAACTGCTGCTAAAACTCTGAACGGACAACAGATAATTTTATCTTTTTGGTTGTAGAGCTGAAGAGAGCAATACTAGTGATATCAAATTATGTATGTCATCAGATCACAGTGCTTTATCTGACAAAGAATCAATTTTAAATCTCATCCAGAGAGTGAATGAGAGAGGATTGAAGTTACTTTATGTTTTCCCTTTGTATCAGTCTTTGATACACACTGAGTGACATCACTGAGCTTTATTGGGGATATTTACTTTAGCCTTGGTTTAAGGCGTTAAACGTGTATACTTCTTGTATTAAAGCACACCATTCTTGCATGGGTGTAATAAAACAGCAGTTGGGCGCCTCCATCTTTTGTTATGGATTGCTGAAATCATGCTGGAGACTGTATTTATAAGTAGTGCATACTAGGACTGCCAAATATTGACTTTGCTTGCTAACTCTATCACATAAAACTTCTGACAATAACCTAAGTAAAGTTCAGTTGAAGATAAAATATTGCAAAATAAATGCCAAAAATGGAAACCATTTTTCAAAACACTAAATTAGGAAGTCAAGGAGTTGGGGCAATTAATCAATATTTCAAAATGATGAATATATTTTACAAAACACCAGTTAAAAGGAAAAGCTCAAAAGGGAGGTCTCTCTGTATGCATAAAACACAATGTTTATTTTAGGCTTCTGTGGCAGATTTCAGATGAGGCTTTTGAAACACACTACTTAAAATTTTTGCTACAAAGTATAGTCTTCATCAAAATGATCTAAAAAATCATATAAATCAACTAGTATTTGATGCTATTTTTTACAAGTATAGGGTTCATCAAAATGATCTAAAACATCACATAAATCAACAGTGTTTGATGTTTGTCATTTATTGAAAACCTATATTCCAGGTGCTTTACCTACATTTATTCAATTATCTTCCCAAGCCTATATTTTCAGTATCCTGATTTTAAAAAATACACAAATGTTAAAGAACATTCATTCAGTCATTCCACAAGCTTTTGTTTTGTGCTGGGTACTTCCAGAATTTAACAGACAAGTCAGAGTCCCCCAAGCTCATGGGTTTATATTCCTGCAGAGTTGGTGAGGTGGAGAGAAGGCAATAAACAAATAAGGAAATAAATAAAGAAGAAAATGTGTTATGATGAAGAAAGAGGTGGGAGACAAAAAAGGAAGGAGGTAAGGGAAGGTACTTTTGTTTGTGTGCAGAGATTCACATGGAGGCAAACTTTTCATATCTAAAATGCTAAAGGAAAACAAATAAGGCAATGTGGTCAGAGCTGAATAGAAAATTAAGTTAAGGAGGTAGATTAATTCAAAATATTTCAAACTAGACAAGAGGTCAATAGTGGTTTTAATAACCAACTCAGTGCTGATGTGTCCTGTGTTCCTCTCCTTAGCCTAGTCTGATTGATAGATTTGTACATGTAAGTGCCTATTGTTTCAACATAGTTGCCACCTAGCATTCTAAACCCTTAACATAGCTACTTATACATTTGTGTCGTGTAATGTTAGTTAATATGAATAGTTTTTCCGTGATTCTTTTTGTTGTTGTTGTTGAGATGGAGTCTTGTTCTGTCGCTCAGGCTGGAGTGCAGTGGTGCAATCTCAGCTCTCTGCAACCTCCACCTCCTGGGTTCAAGCAATTCTCCTGCCTCAGCCTCCAGAGTAGCTGAGATTTACAGGCACCCACCACCATGCCTGATTAATTTGTTGTTGTTGTGACAGAGTCTTGCTCTGTTATCCAGGCTGGAGTGCATCTGGCGTGATCTTGGCTCACTGCAAACTTCACCTCCCGGGTTCAAGCAATTCTCCTGCCTCAGCCTCCCAAGTAGCTGGGATTACAGGTGTGTGCCACCATGCCCAGCTAATTTTTTGTATTTTTAGTAGAGATGGGGTTTCACCATGTTGGCCAGACTGGTCTTGAACTCCTGACCTCAAGTGATCCACACACTTCTGCCTCCCAAAATGCTAGGATTACAGGTATGAGCCACCACACGCAGCCAATTTTTCCTTGATTCCGATTGATTATGGCTCCATTGAGAAGATCAAATTTATGGATTTGCCAAAGAACAAGGACTGATCTTATAATGGCAATAAAAATAGCTACTAGTAACTGGGAAATTTTTAGGAAATGCCTTGATTTCCTCACTTAAGTCATTAAGCACCATCTAGGACCACACTATAGTTGGGGAAAGCAACCAAATTCCTGTCTTCAATGAGCTTAATTTCTATTGTGGAGGATAGTGGAGCAAAGACAATGAACGAAAAACCACACAAGCATTTCTAACATGATGCCAGGTAGTGGCGAGTGCTATAAAGAATAAAAAAAGAGCAAGATACATAAAGCATGTACTTATTCCAGCACAGAGAAAGGTCACTGGAAGTTGTGATAGTCAGGAATGACTTCATGAAGAAGGATGCTTGAAGCAAATAAGAAAAGCAAAAATAATAACTTTATTGATCCGATAGGGAGCTAAATTACATTTAAAAAAAAAAAATCAAAACATCACAAAGTTTACCATGAGCCACTGGTGCAGACAGGGGACAGGGAAATACTAGGTAGAAGAGGACAGTTCCCCGGCAAAGGCCCCATCCTCAAGCCTGGAGACCCACGGCCCTAAATGGGGACAGGCATTCCTGTTTTCATGCTCCAAAAATTGCTGTTTGGGTCGCCACGCGTCCTATCCTGTACCCATATAAACTCTAAACCCCAGGCTCCGGAAGCAGATGAGCAGATGAGCAAATGAAGGGACAATGAGACAAGGAGATGAACGGCAGAACGACATGGCAGAGAAAGAGAGAAGGGAAGGAACGTCTGAACACCGAGGGGAGTTCAGCAGGGGACGGTCAGAGGGGATCTCAGCCGCTGGTTGGCCAACCTCCAGGGGAAGATCATCTGCCCACTCCATCCCCCTTCCAACTCCCCATCCATCCCACTGAGAGCCATCTCAACCACTCAATAAAACCCCGCATTCATCCTTCAAGCCCGTGTGTGACCCGATGCTTCCGGGACTCTGAGCAAGAGCTTGGGATACAGAAAGCTGTCACACTGGCCCTCTGCCCTTGTAAAAAGGTAGATGGTCCATTGAGCTGGTTAGCACTTCAGCTGTCTGCAGACTGCAAGGCTAAAAGAGCGTTGTAACACTGGGGCTGCAGGCACCAACCCCTAGACACTACTGTGGGGCCAGAGCCCAAAGCACTCGCCCCAGATCCTGTGCCTGCCTATCTGCATGCTCCCCATCCTGTCAGGGGTTTGAGCAGTGGCAGCAACCACACCTCTGTTGCACATCCTGCGATGGGGATCAGGGAACTCTCCCATTTAATAGTTACAAATTGCTATCTTTCATGCTTGGTGCGGTAGCAATCTATTTTTGCCTCTTCCACCCCTGCCACATGGAATTTTGTGTTGTAGACTAAGGTATAGCAAAGTACCAACACATTTGCTTTAAAATTTCATTTATTGCCTCAATTGGCCAGCAATAAAAGTAGATAAGATGACCACTAATTTAGATATTAAACCCATCGGTGTCATCTCATTCTTTCCTTCCCAGCAATCATCCATGCACTTTTTAATGATAATTAGCCAACTTTTATTATTTAGTATGATATAACTACAAAATACCTTGTATTGCTATTTAGTTATTTCAAACAGCATTCCATTAAATTATTATAAATTACACCTTACATGCTATCTGAGAAAATATTAAATTTCTTCCATTCTATTTTTTCATTTTCAACTGTAATTTCTTTAACTTCAATTGCTTTATACCAAATATCTCCCTCTTTAAATGTGCAAATTTTCTTGCTGCAAAAATACCAGTCTGTAACTTAATCTCTGATTAGAGAAATATAATTTTTTAATATTAAAAGATTTTATTTTGGTGGCATTCAACATTTAAATACTAGTATAATTATACATGCTTATTTTATGACGTAAGATTTTGGATAAATATATAGAAGTTTCCTATTGCTTAATTTTTGTTTTCATTTTTAGTTATACCATTTCCTAATACATGATTTATCATGATTTAATTGAAATCAAGAAACTGGGCTATGAAGTGAAATCAACTGATGTACTTCAAGTTCGGGGGAAATAATTCTAATTAAAAATTGGACTAAGAATAATTTTAAAATTAATGGAATTGTTAGACTTATTTCTTGTTACCTTGGAAACGTGTGATTAAGTTCTTGTGATTTGGAATCAGCTTGTTTGAATCTCACTTTTACCAGGTTCCAGCTGACTCTGTGGCTCTGGCCTCTCTAAGCCTCAGTGCTGTGATCTGCACAGTGGGATTAAATAGAGTAGTTAATGCTAAGGATCGCCATGGCTGTTCCTGCCTGCTCAATGATGTACCTTCTATTCATTCAGGAGTAAAATTCTCCAGGAACAAGGGAGACCTTTTCCCTAAGAGTAGATTACATATGCACCATCTATTTTAGTAATATATACTCATGATGAGCCTGTTATTGAGAGAAATAAGCAGATAATACATGGACAATATGAGATTAGCAGCCTGAGAAAGCCGCTGTTGCACACTTAAACAAGTCACAAAATTTCCAATTCAGTAACCTTAAAGGCCAACAGACACTTCTGTGTGACTATTACTGCAGAAGAAAAAGATTTTATAGCAGAATCCACTAGTTCATTGGATCAGTTAAGTCTTTATTGTATCCTAAGACCCTTAAAGCTTTCTTTCTAATCAGCCACTTCTATCATTTAACAACCTTGTTTTGTGTTTTGGCAGCCAACCCCAAATGAATGGGCCTATCTGGGGATGGGAAGAAAAGAAGCCACCCAAAGGCCCTTTTTTGCCTTTGCAAACTGATGGTTTCCAAGCAGTTTTCTGGTGTTTGGAAACACTGTGTAGTAACTGGGGGAAGAGGCAGCTGTGCTTTGGCCCACATGAGGTAATTTGCAGACACATTTTAATTGCCTTTTAGGGAGCATGAAGGAGTTCCAAATAGTCTAATGAGTTCCAGCAAACACCTGTGAAATGCTTTTAGACGGCCATGTAATACCGAAATTAAGAATGTAATGCAGCAATTGGAGGCATCGTTGTTTTTGTGGGGTTTTTTTCCCTCCACTGAAAAGAATAGACAGAGATGTTCTGAAGACCCCTTGCCTGTAGTAGGTTTTCCACTCACGAAATGAGACTTTATCTTTGACCTCTTGGACTAATATAATGAATTTGAAAATGTTTGATAGAATCTTCATGTCAAACTTGATATTTTTAAAAAATGGGGAATCTTAATCAGACAGTAATACTAAAATGAGAGGGTATCAGACAGGTAGTTATAAGTTTAAAGCTGTACCCTTGTTAGCCAATAAGCAGTATTAAATGAATAGCTCTGAAACACAAACATAATCATAATAGTATCGTAATAAATGGAGATTGTGGAAGGTATATTATACTTTCTCTCCCTCCTACCTATTCCTACTTTGTTTCCTTCTTTCCCTCCCTACTTCCTCCTTCCTTCCCTCCTTCCCTCCCTCCATCCCTCCCTTCCTTCCTCTTTCCTTCCTTCCTTTTATGATGGTTCCTTGTCAATTTAAATGAAGATGTGTTTGAGAATATCCTAATGAATGACGTTTAAGTCTTCCTGGTATGCCCTTGGGAACAAATGACCTGAAATATAGAGAGAATTACTATAATTTGGAGATTAAAAACACAAGAATAAAACACAAAGATAAAAATCAGGAATTATATCCTCATTCCAACTTCAGACCCATATTATTATTTTGTATGTATATTTGTGTGTTTACCATTATCCAAGTTCATTCCTCTCTCTTCTCCTGTGAATTAGCAACTACCCTTGAAATGCATGTTCATCATTCCAAAAAATTTCTTTATATTTTAGTACATACAATATATAATATTACATATACATATACACACATTCCTCAACAAAATTAAATGTTCTAAAATGAAGTAGTACAGGATATTTCTTTGCCAGGGCTCTTTTTTTCTTAGCATAGACTACTGACTAATAATATATGAATCTATAATTAATTTCTTTTTATGGCTTTATAATGTGCCACTGAAAGAAGAGTCCCACTTTATTCTTCTGTTGTAGACTTTCAGGCTGTTTTCACTTTTTTCACTATTAGAAGCAATGCTTATTCATCTGTAACTGCAGACATGTATCTTAAAACTACTTAGGAATGGAATTGTTAGGTGACAAATTATATGGACTTTCACCTTGACTAGATTTTGCTGTATTCTTCTCCAAAGTGGTTATATCAACTTTTGTTGCTACCAGTAGTGCTTAAGAATTTCTATTGATCTATATCCCTACCAATTCCTGGGATTGTCAGTCATTACCAAGTTCACCCATTTGATGGGTAGAAAATCTCAACTTGGTTTATTTTGTGTTACCTGAAAACTAGTGAGATTCTGCACATTTTTATATGCATATTAACATTTTATGTAGACTTTTCTGTGAATCACCTGTCAATATCCTTTTTCTATTTTGTTGTTTCTTTAATTTTTTTAAACAGATTTTTAGGAGTCTTTACTTGGGACACAAATCTTTCATCATTAGCTGCATGACAAATACCATCACCCTGTCCATATTTTATATTTTTCATTTTTCTCATGGTTACTTTTGACACACAAGATTTAAAATTTAATTTTTCATGGTTTGTCATTTTATGTCTTATTTTGGAAAATCTTTCCCAACCTGGAGAAATAATAAAGTTAGTCTCAAAATTTCTTCTAAATACAATAAAGCTTTGTTTTTCCTTTTTTTTTTTTTTTTAAGTGTAATCCATGTTGAGTTTGGGGTGTGTATTTTGTGAGATAGGGATTCATATCTTTCCCACATGGCTAACCAATACTGTTACCGTCTATCCTGTTCATCTGCAGTTACCTCTATTATATATGTTTCCATATATACATGCTTCTAGGGCTGAACTTGCCAGATGTGAGAGTCCAATAGTCACAATAGCTATCTATATTTATATTTAACTAGAATTAAGCAAAATAAAACATTTAGTTTCTCAGTCACACTAGTGACATTTCAACTATTCAACTAGCCATACGTCACTACTCCTTTATTGGATAGTACACGTAGAGAACATTTCTGTAATCACAAAAAGATCTGTGGGACAGTCCTTTTAGAGAATTAGGCTCTCTCTTACCCCCATTAATTCACCTCTTTATTTACTTTCATCCCGGTTGCTGCTCCAGTGCCACAGTGTCTGAATTAGTATGGTGTTTCTATAATGTTAATATCTCATAGGGCAAGTCATTCTTCCTTATTCTTATTTTTTAGAAGTCGCTTCTCTTTTCTTGGCTTTTTGCTCCTTTTATTATTCAATATGACTTTTAGGGAATGTGATTGGGATTTCATTGAGTTTATACAGCAATTTGGGAATAATTTATATCTTTAAATTACTGCATTTGCAGTCCTTGGACAGTGTACCCCCTTTCCATTAATTTAGAGTTTATTTTTTTAAACCTAGTTTTCTCCATAAATATCATGTATATCTGAATAGCATTAATCACAAGCAACTTGAAGTTTTTTTACTGTTATAAATTATATTTTGTATCACCTGTTTATTGCTAGTTTATAGTAACGAGTTTTTTATATTCATCTTATCCAGCAACCTCATGGAATTCTTATAAAATTTCATTTTTTTCTGTAAAATCTCTTAGGTTTTTAAGGTAGGCAATCTTAGTATTTGTGAATAAGGTCAGTTTTGTATCTTAAAGTTGCAATTTTTGTAAACTTTTTTCTTTTTTGTTTACTTTAGCAGGGATTTCTAGTATCAAGTGGACTAGATTGTATGGAAAATTATGATTCTAAATTTTGATTTTTTTGTAGTATATAACATTTTATCAGGTTCAGAATTTTTTTTCTATTCCCAGTTTTCCTGAGTTTTTATTTAAATTATAAATTGTAGCTGGGCATGGTGCTTCATGCCTGTAATTCCAGAACGTTGGCAGGAGGATTGCTTGAGGCTAGGAGTTCAAGACTAGCCTGGGCAGTGTAGAAAAAACGTTTAAAAAAATAGCCAGTTTTGGTGGCATGTGTCTGTAGTCCTAGTTACTCAGAAAACTGAGCCTGGAGGATTGTTGCTCAAGCCCAGCAGTTTGAGATTACAGTGAGCTATGATTGCACCACTGTATTCCAACCTGGGCAACAGAGTGGGACTCAGTAAAAAAAATAAAAAATTATGAATTGCAATTAAATTTTATCAAATTACTTTTATTAACATTTATGCTAGAATAATATTTTTCTCATTTTATCAATTAATATGGTAAATTAAACTATTAATAAACATTCTGATAGGTTTATTTTGTTTGCTTGAGACAGAGTTTCGCTCTTGTTGCCCAGGCTTAAAGTGCAGTGGCGCCATCTCGGCTCACTGCAACCTTCACCTCCCGGGTTCAAGTGATTCTCCTGCCTCAGCCTCCTGAGTAGCTGGGATTACAGGTGCACAGCACCAGGCCTGGCTAATGTTTTGTATTTTTTTTAAATAGAGACAGGGTTTCAGCATGTCGGCCAGGCTGGTCTCGAACTCCTGACCTCAGGTGATCTGCCCACCTTAGCCTCCCAAAGTGTCAAGATTACAGGTGTGAGCCACTGTGTCCAGCCTGATAGTAGTTTTTCTATACATGGAAAATACACACTCTGATCACAAATTATGGTTATTATGATTATTATTATATTGATGGATTTAGTTTTCTATCATTTTGTTTGGAATTTTTTTCTAAATCTGAAAATATGATTGGCCTGTATTTATCTTTTAACAAACTACCTTTCTTTATCTTGCCTTTAAAACTGATGCTAAGTTGTATACACTTACTTGATATATGGCAGGCCTTGAAAACACTGTGCCTTTGCTGTTCCTTGGAAGTATTTGTGCTCCAGTTATTAGCTGTTCCTTAAGTATTTGTTAAGAAGTATTATCTGGGTCTTGAGTGTTTTTTCTGGGTGTATTTTTAATTTACTAATTAAGTCTCTTAAGTAGTTAAAGGTCTTATGATGCTTTCTATTTCTACTTAGTCACTTTTGGTAAGTTAAATTATTATAGGAAAATTTTCCTATTTGTTTCCTAAAATATTATTTTCTTCTATTATTTTTTAACTTCTGCTGTGCTGTCATTCCTAATATTATTTATTTTGCCTTTTTTTTCCTTGTTGATTTAACCAGCCCTTTCAGAAAGGTGTCTCTGTTATTAGTCTTTACAAAAAATAATTTTTGGTTTGGTCAATTATTTCGAGTCTTTTATCTTTTATTACTATTTCATTCACAATTGCCTTTATTTTTCTTTGGATTCATTCTGTCATTTCTTTTCTAATTGCTAGAGCTGGATAAATATGTAGACCATCATTTTTCAGCCTTTTTACTTTCTTAATGTAAGCATTAAGGCAATTTTTTTTCTGATTGATACTTGCCCTCATCCCACAGTAATTTACATTGTTGTTCATTTCTAAATATTTTATAATTCTCAGTTTTGATTTCCCACTTTACTCATGGTATACTTAGAATAATACGTTGAAATTTTCCATTGTTTTTGAAGACTTCATCCTTTTTTTTCTACCTTGATTTAATCTGGCTATAGGATGTTGTCAGTGTGAATCTGATGCTTCTAAATGAACTGTGTTTTATGGCTTAGAATTTATTTTCTAAATACAGTATTATGTGTATGTTTGAGCAGAATATCTGTTGTTCAATTGTTGAGGATGATATTCTATCATATATGTCCATTTGATTCAGCTGGGTAAATAGGCTGTTGAAATCTTACTAGTCTTCATTAGATATCATTGTTTTCTTTATTTTTTTGTCCTGTTTGATAATGAATTAATTATAGAAATGTATTAAAACCTCCCAGTATGATTGTGGATTCATCAAATTCTACGTATTTTGTTTATATTTTGAGGCTAATTTATAAGATTTATAAAATTTGGAATTCTTTTACTTTCCTAGCAAATTGAATCTTTTATCATTAGATAGTGACACTCTTTATTTCTAAAAATATTTTTAACCTGTAGTTTATTGGTCTGATGTTAAAATAGTTACAAGGCTTCTTTTGGCTAGTATTTATATATTAAATCTTTACTCATTTTTCCATAATCAATCCTTTTATTTACCTTATATACTACATTGGATACTACAGAGAGGAAGAGAGAGAGAGGGGAAGAGGATATGTATTTATTTTAGTTCATTTTGAAAACCTCAGTATTAGCTGTTGATTTAAATTTCATTTACAGTTATAGTGATGACTTATAAAGGCTATTTTTTGCCTTCACATTTTATGTCAATTTTCTCCTTTTTAATTATTTTTCTATTTATAATTAAATTCATTCATTTATTCAAAACTACTTAAGTGCTAGGTGCATGGTAAACACTATTTTAGTTGTTGGGAAAATAACAGCAAACAAACAAAAAGGCTCCTGCTTCAGAGGTCTTACAGGGTAGTGGTGATGAGAGACAATAATTACAAGATTTTGTTTGTCAAAGGTTACAAGCCTAAAGGAGAAAAATAAATAAAACGATTGTTGATCACCTAATTCAAGACTTAAGAGCAAAAAGGCAACGGTTCATTTCGGTGAATGGCAAAGTTTTAGGCTAGTACAGATATAGACTTGACAATTTGCTCTAGTATGATAAAAAGACCTTTTGTTCTTATCCACATTTTCCCTAATCTTCTTCATATAAATAGCAACATGAAGTCCATCCATTCAATCCTTCTATTGTTTTGAGCATTTCCTATGGGGTGATGATGGCTGCAACCTCTGTCTGTCTTCTTTAAGAATTACCCTGAATGCAGCCTGGATATCATTATCCATCCTTTATGCATCCTTTATAACCTCAGAAATTACAAATTCTATTTCATAAAATATGTCCTCAATCTATAGAATAAGAATACTATGAGTGTTAATGAGATTATACTGATAATTGTGATAAATTCTTTGAAATGTTGGTATTCAGTCATTATGACTTTAAAACATAAACATTTCATATGGCTCAACCTTATTCAAGGTCTTATAATATACTTTTTTTTTCTTGATTTTTCCATCAGCACAGAGTATTTTTATTCACAGGAATCAGAAAGTCTCTTTATTTTAAAAACAAATATTGGAAAGGCCTAAATTTTACATTTGGAATAGAATTATAAATAACAGCAATGGAAATTTGGAAGGAAGTTTAAAACAGTAATCAATTTGTCCTCGACTACCCCAAGTTGAGGAAACAGGTGAAAAGAATTGGAAGGACCTCTAGTGAAGTTTTTAAAACCTTTCCCAGTACTACATTCTTTAGTGAAGATAATTTAATTTTTTATTTTATTTTATTTTTTTTTACATTTTGAGATGCCTTTATTTTCAGTGGCTTAACATTATTTTCTAGTAAAATATCTTCTTTTTTTTATTTATTATTATACTTTAAGTTTTAGGGTACATGTGCACAATGTGCAGGTTAGTTACATATGTATACATGTGCCATGCTGGTGTGCTGCACCCGTTAACTCATCATTTAGCATTAGGTATATCTCCTAAAGCTATCCCTCCCCCCTCCCCCCACCCCACAACAGTCCCCAGAGTGTGATGTTCCCCTTCCTGTGTCCATGTGTTCTCATTGTTCAGTTCCCACCTATGAGTGAGAAGATGCGGTGTTTGGTTTTTTGTTCTTGCGATAGTTTACTGAGAATGATGATTTCCAATTTCATCCATGTCCCTACAAAGGACATGAACTCATCATTTTTTATGGCTGCATAGTATTTCATGGTGTATATGTGCCACATTTTCTTAATCCAGTCTATCATTGTTGGACATTTGGGTTGGTTCCAAGTCTTTGCTATTGTGAATAGTGCCGCAATAAACATTCGTGTGCACGTGTCTTTATAGCAGCATGATTTATAGTCCTTTGGGTATATACCCAGTAATGGGATGGCTGGATCAAATGGTATTTCTAGTTCTAGATCCCTGAGGAATCGCCACACTGACTTCCACAATGGTTGAACTAGTTTACAGTCCCACCAACAGTGTAAAAGTGTTCCTATTTCTCCACATCCTCTCCAGCACCTGTTGTTTCCATTGTTTCCTGACTTTTTAATGATCGCCATTCTAACTGGTGTGAGATGGTATCTCATTGTGGTTTTGATTTGCATTTCTCTGATGGCCAGTGATGGTGAGCATTTTTTCATGTGTTTTTTGGCTGCATAAATGTCTTCTTTTGAGAAGTGTCTGTTCATGTCCTTTGCCCACTTTTTGATGGGGTTGTTTGGTTTTTTCTTGTAAATTTATTTGAGTTCATTGTAGATTCTGGATATTAGCCCTTTGTCAGATAAGTAGGTTGTGAAAATTTTCTCCCATTCTGTAGGTTGCCTGTTCACTCTGAGGGTAGTTTCTTTTGCTGTGCAGAAGCTCTTTAGTTTAATTAGATCCCATTTGTCGGTTTTGGCTTTTGTTGCCATTGCTTTTGGTGTTTTAGACATGAAGTCTTTGCCCATGCCTATGTCCTGAATGGTAATGCCTAGGTTTTCTTCCAGGGTTTTTATGGCTTTAGGTCTAACATGTAAGTCTTTAATCCATCTGGAATTAATTTTTGTATAAGGTGTAAGGAAGGGATCCAGTTTCAGCTTTCTACATATGGCTAGCCAGTTTTCCCAGCACCATTTATTAAATAGGGAATCCTTTCCCCATTGCTTGTTTTTGTCAGGTTTGTCAAAGATCAGACAGTTGTAGATATGCGGTGTTATTTCTGAGGGCTCTGTTCTGTTCCATTGATCTATATCTCTGTTTTGGTACCAGTTCCATGCTGTTTTGGTTACTGTAGCCTTGTAGTATAGATTGAAGTCAGGTAGCGTGATGCCTCCAGCTTTGTTCTTTTGGCTTAGGATTGACTTGGCGATGCGGGCTCTTTTTTGTTTCCATATGAACTTTAAAGTAGTTTTTTCCAATTCTGTGAAGAAAGTCATTGGTAGCTTGATGGGGATGGCATTGAATCTATAAATTACCTTGGGCAGTATGGCCATTTTCACGATATTGATTCTTCCTACCCATGAGCATGGAATGTTCTTCCATTTGTTTGTATCCTCTTTCATTTCATTGAGCAGTGGTTTGTAGTTCTCCTTGAAGAGGTCCTTCACATCCCTTGTAAGCTGGATTCCTAGGTATTTTATTCTCTTTGAAGCAATTGTGAAATATTTTTAATATTTAGATCCATTGCTTACTGTGATTATTCTATATGTTGGTATTGTTTAAAAAAACCTTTGGTCTGATTTTTTACACAAAGTGAAATATCATATGTTTAAATTTGTTTTCTGCTTTATTTATGCAATGTGACTTTTTTCCCATCAAGCATCAGGCCGTGTTGCTTGTTGTCAGGGTAGAAAAAATAAATATGTGCATTAAATGTGTAGTGAATACTATCATTTTAACAGAAATATAGGTTTGAGATTTCATATTTTGTCACTTGATCTTGCCAGGTTGATTTATGACAGACAATAAAGTTGTCAAAGACCTTTTGTTGGTGGCAATGTTTTAGTTTTTAAATTATGAGAACATAGAGTTTTGTTGTACAGGGAGAAGAAAGTAATTCTTTGACTGACATGAATGAAATGACAGTTCATTATGAGAATAATACTTGGTGCTATGAAACTGGGGTATCACTGCTTCCTTAGCAGTGAAAATCCCATTAAAAATCACCTCTATCACACATTTGTACATAATATATAGTCAGCTTGGCTACCAGGGGTAAAGCTGTTTAGGAAATGGAAAAAGGAGGAAAGGATTAGTTCAACACAGGTTCCACATACTATTTGCCCTTGTAAAGGGAAGATTTAAAACATTTTGTTTCTCTGGTCTTAATAATCTAGGAAGCATGTTTTACTGTATTTCAGGTGTTTTGACGTGCTCAGAAACTTAGTTATTTTGTTTTCCACCCCTGAAATTTCTTTGTTTTTGACAGAAGTAGACATTTTATCTCTGCCACATTTGCAAATTGTTTTTTAAAACTTCCCACGGATCTTTTTTTTGCCAATGACCTTTCATTAGAACCAGAATATTCTAATACAAGAAGTAAGGATCTCAATACAGATATCTTAGAAAATCAGGACATGTTTGTGCCCACAGAATGACTGCATTGTTACCAATTTATTAGATGCTGCCTGATGGCATAGCATAGGTAACATAAATGCTGAGGCATAAAAATAACATTTTGAGTATGATGAAATAGAGCCTTTGATTCTTTAGAGTGAAGAAGAGGAGGCTCAGAGGTCATCATGGTGGGGAATCTGGACACAATTCGATTTTTGTTATTATGAAAGTTAACAATATGCTAGACTTTTTCCTGTATCTTACTGTAATAAAATTATCTGCCTCCCTCCCAGGTCAGAATAATATTAGAAAATTCCTTCAACCCTATCTCCCCAAAAAGGACGAAAATTAGGGTGGTGAAGGGGGAAGGTTGTTTTTGTTTTTGTATATAAGGATTACAATAATGGGAGGTAGTAATGGTGAAGAAAAGAAATTTTGTTATTTTACTAACTCCAGTGTAAATTGGATCTTGGCAACCTTGGAACAATCCCCATGACACTCTCTGAAATAACCAAAGTTGAGAATATGAATTCTGACACACTGGCCAGTTCCTTTTCAATTACTATGTTCTGCCCTTGCAAATTTCTCCTTAGGATTTTTTTAACATATGGTGCTATTCTATCTTTAAATTGAGATTTCTCCAGTGTTTTTTTTTTTTAATCTAGAATAGAATGAATTTCAGTAAAGTCTCACATATCAATTACTTTTTTTTCACAGTCACTATGCAAACTTACGAGATAGGACACTGCATTAAGACAGGTTTTAAACACAACCACTATGAGAATATTACAAAAAGTTCTATTGTCTTCCAATAGCGTAGAAATTTTCTCATTGCTGTAAGAAGTTAATATTATCCCAAACTCAGAGCACAGTAGATGGAGTTGGTAAAACTTGCTCTTTACCTATCAAATGCCATGTATAACCATTGCCTACTACAATGTAGGAAATGTAGACTTATGATGGAGGACCTGGGTCATTACCTTACTCATTCTACAAACATTTAATAGGCATATCATATACCCTAGAACAGTTAGTTACATTTTACTTTTTCTCCATTTGACACTTCAGTTTTTAACTGGTATATTTGGTTCATTTGTATTTAGTATAATTATTGATTTATTTGAGTTGAAATCTAATATTTTGTTTCTTTATTGGTTCCAACCTTTCCTCATGTGTGTTTCTCCCACCTTGCCTTCTCTTGGAATAATCAGACATTTCAACTAATTCATTTTGTTTTAAAATCTTTTTGTGATGACGAAATAATCCCTGGAGGTGTAGAGGAGATTACAACATAAACATGCATTCTCGAATTGTTAGCATCCACTTTAAAATGGTACACTTATAACTCTCTGTACTTTTAGAACCTTATGTTACTTTACTGTCTTCACATCCCCACTTCCTTTTGTGCTATTTTGTCATGAATTTTAGTTCTACACGTATTTTAAATACACAGAAACTTATTATTGTTTTCAAATCTCAATAATAATTTATAGTTAACCATGTAATACCCTTTTCAATGTTCTTTATTTCTTGAATTGGCATGTTTCTATCTGCGATCATGTTCCTTATGGCAGTATAAATAACTTTAGTGTTTTTTTGAACATTCTTCTGTTGGTGACAAATTCTTATTTTTGTTTGTGTGAAAATTTTTGCATTTTCCCATAATATTGAAGAATATTTTTTGCTTGGTATAGGACACTAAGTTGGCAGATGGTTCCCCTTAGCACTTGTAAGTAGTCATTCCATTGCCATCTAGCTTGATAGTTTCTCCTGAAAAGTAACCTATAAAGCTTATTTCTTCTTTGAAAACAGTGGATGTTTTTTCTTATGGTTGCCCTAAATATTTTTTATTTATGTTAGATTTCAGAATCTTTTTTAAAAAATTCTGCTTGGAAGTTTTTGAGTTTCTCCAAATGTTGGCTTTATGGTTTTCAATGATATGAGTTGTCCTATGGAGAGGCCCACGTGGCTAAGAACTGAGCAAGGCCTTCAGCCAATAACCAGAAAACAACTGACTCTTTTAATACCAAAGACAATGAGGAATGGAATCCTGCCAACAACCTTGCAAATAAATTTGGCAAGAGGTCTTTTCTCTGTCAAGCTTTCTGGTAAGACTGCCGTTTTCAGTGTGACTGAAACTGAATTGGATACTTTGAAATAAAAGCATTCAGCTAATTCTTCTCCAGATTCCTGACTGGTAGGATTTGTGAGATGATTAATATTTGTTGTATTAGCTACCAAGTATTGTAGTATTCTGTTACATACAATAGATAACTAATACACCCTCTTCTCTTTTTGGGATTCCACTAATGCATAGATAGAATAGCCTTTCAAACATGTCTCATGTGTCTCTTTTTCCATTTTTTTTTTTAGTATCCTTCAACATTACTCGTGTGTTTTAATATGAATATTTTTGCTGAGCTATCTTTCAGGTTACTGTCCTCGCTTCTGCTATATCTAATCCAATGGCAGATATTTCATTTTTTGGTTCTACAATTCCCAGTTTACTATTTTATATCATTTCTACTCACAAAGTAAAAATTGCTGTCTTTTCATCTAATTTATAGTTATATTAATCTTAGCAACTTTAAAATCTATGTCTGATGACTCAAATATCACTTGTGATTCCGTTTCTCTCATCTGCTCCCCACCTCCACTTGATCAGTTGGGTCTATATATAATATGCTTGGTAATTTTTAATTGAATGCTGGTGTCTCATGAATGCTTTTTAAGTACTGTCACACATGTTTAAATGTCACATAAGAATGAGCCCCTTTAACTCTGGCAATGCACACCATTTTGTAAAAGCTTATCTTCTTGTTTTAGATCACCAAAATCATAGCATGTCTAGATTGCCATATTAATCATTGCCTAGGGCAATTGAACCAAGGGCTATAGTCCTAATGCACAAGAGATGGAATGTAAATAGCATTCATGTAAACTGTAATGGGCAACATTTAGTTATTACTAGTGTTGGCAATAAAACATAAAGCATTTTATACCCTCTTTTCCCCCACCAAATTGCCCAGTGTAGAAGCAAGACTGCAGGGATCAAAAGATCTGCACCCTTGCCCTACCTCTAACACTGTTTGGTTTGTGTTATAAACATAACATACAACTTCTTTTTGTTTGTTTGTTTGTTTGTTTGTTTGTTTGTTTGTTTTGAGACAGAGTTTTGCTCTTGTCACCCAGGCTGGAGTGCAGGGGTGCAATCTCAGCTCACTGCAAACTTCGCCTCCTGGGTTCAAGCAATTTTCCTGCTTCCGCCTCCTGAGTAGCTGGGATTAAAGGCACCCACCACCATGCCCTGCTAATTTTTGTATTTTTTAATAGTGACAGGGTTTCGCCATGTTGGCCAGGCTGGTCTCGAACTCCTGACTTCAGGCGATCCACCAGCCCCGGCCTCCCAAAGTGCTGGGATTACAGAGGTAAGCCACCTCACCTGGCCACAACTTCTTTTTTTTCCCCTTCTTTTTAAAATCTGTAAGATTGCATGATCTCCTGCATGTCTTTCGTAAATGTCAGTGTGAGAAACTGACTTTAAAAAAGAAAATGAGATGAAACAAGGCACCAATGGACTTGAGTCAGGCTAAGAGGATAATTAAGCAGCATGATTTAAAGTATGGGTTTTGAGTTAAATAGTCATTTTGAGTGTTGATTCAGCCATTTAATACATTGTGGTCTTGGCAAGTTTTTAGATTAGTTCATGCTTTTGTTTTCAAATCTGTATAATGGGGATAATAATAATATTTATCTGTTCAGGCTGTTTTGAATAATTCATGTAAAGTAGAAAAAGCCTGAAATTTCAAAGAACTCAATAATTTTAATAATACTGATATTATTGTCAACATTATCAGTTATTAATATTATGCACTTAAGTGTTTCTTGGACCTAAAAATATAGTTAATATACTTGAATACAGTTAATTATGTTCTTCAATATAGTTAATTATAAAAGAAACAGAGATTTTCTAAGTGGCCCATTGTGGAATGTATCTATATACTTCTGCATTGATTTCATTATTCATAAGAATAACAAAGGGCCTTGACCAGGTTACGATGAAAAGGTAATACAAGAGCTGTGCTACGTATGCTCATTATGGCATGACCAGGCCCATGTCTACATCTTTATCTTTCTATTCCGAGAAAGGTGCTCTGTAATGGTTAACAATAACTATAGGTTTGATCCAAGCAGAGTCTGGTCTTTCTAAACTATGTTGAATAAATGGTGCCTTGTCCATCATATACTCTTTCCATTTCCAAAACGAGATGCCCACCACAGCTCAGTACCCATCATTGATTACCTAATTACACAATCATTCCATCATAAATCAGTGCAACGTCTGTGACTCTATATGTCATCACTACAACCCCCTCTGTCTATTCCCCTGGAGCTTCACCGAGGCGGTTCTACTGACATAATATATTCATTATCCATTAGATCTGGCACACGCTCCACAGTGCTCAATTATGATACAATCGAGCAAAGGGTCTGGTGTCGGCCAATGTAATGACTTTCTGATTATCTGTCTTTAAATGATGAATGAAATGAAAATGTACTGCTCAAACCAAATATAAGATTGTTAGGATGCCAAATGAAAATTGTACACAGCCTCCTTTATGGGAGAATGGCAAACGCCTGCTTTCATTCAGCAATAGCTCTCTAAATATACTTTTCCACACCATTCCCATCTTTCAGTTATAAGATTACAACAAATCCACTGAATTTAAGTCCGAAACTGATATTTTGGGGTCATTACATTACTCTTTGACTTAAGTTTTAATTCACAAGAACCTTCAGATACTTTTACATCTGCCTCGTCTTTTGACTCTACTTGTGTAATCTGACCTCCCAGTGATAGATTTACTGTTTCTACTTAGTCACCTGGATCAGATTATTTTTTGAGTTGCTTTGTCTCATGGAGAGCTGTAAGATAATTAAGCAGATTGATACATAGATGGAATTTGTTTAAAAAAATGCCAGGATTATAAATAAGTGGTAGGCTCAAAAACATTTTGTTGTTCAAATAATTATGAAGCAGGTGTTTGATAGTACAGTCATTTCTGTTTCTGTTTACATCTTTAGTTATTATTCTGTTCATTATAATTGAAAATCCAATGACGCTTTGTATTGGAGCACTCACAAATCTGAGTTAAATTACAGCTTCTCAGTTATTCCCTTAAATAGAACACATTGGACTTTTGATTGTAAAATAATTTTAAAAATCCAGTCCTTTCCCAAAATATTTGAACACCTTAGAGTAATTGAGCTTTTTGAAAGGCACAGACAAAAACAATGCATATGTTAATTTTTCATGTCACAACAAGGCTTACAGAATGATTTTGGGGTACCTGAGAAGTTCCCAAAGGGGCCTAATCCTAAAGATGGTAGCTATATAAGCTACGAACAAATCTCCCCACTCCAGTTGTGTAAAGAAGTTAGGAAAAATGTGAGATCTTCTAAATTAAAATTTATTAAGAAAAAACTTATTTTCTTACTTCAGTTTCCCTATTTGAGAAGCTGATCTTAAATTTAATCTTGAAATAAAAATGGAGTTCCTTTGGATCTCACTTAATTGGAGTAAAGTCCTTGTGCTGCGGGAGACTGATAATCCCAGAGGTAAGGGATTGATAGCTCAACAACCATCGAGAAAAATAATTTGAGAGTTGATGTCCTTGTATTTGTTTTTTACTTGCAATTAAATTAGATGGACTCTAAGCTGAAGAAATGTGCATATATCTGTAATGTGTTCACATTCCTAGGATTGAAACTGCCTTCTTATCTTTTACTGTAAAGAATGACTACACCAAGTATTGGTTAAATGTCTTGAGACCTTTTAGGTAAAGTAAAAAATGAGGAAAAATTGTCTGTAAGGGAAGTGTTTAAAGGAGCTCACTAATTAATTAAGTACATCTCAACATTCTTGATTTGGAAACTCTAACAAGAATCATATGAGCTGGTAGTTTGTAAAACTAGATAGGGTAGATGAGTACTTTTTTTTTTCTCTTTTGTTTCCAGCCAGAATGAAAAATATGTAAGTGGAGATATGTTGGAGTCTCTAGGGAAATGTGAATTAATTTGAAGGTCATTGACTGCTTTATTTTCACTTCATATTTGTTTATTTATTTAAAAATAAGTACTAATTTGAAGGGTGTACTGATTTTAATTTACATAACTTATGTAGTAGCAAGAAGGTTAAAATTTTCTTTTACTTCATAAAGACAAAATTTTCTTGGAATATTTTTTTAAAGAGTTCGAGTTTAAATACAGCGTCCACTTCACTGCATCTCGTTAAATCTATTGTTGGCTAGGAAATCAACACAAAACATACCAAAATCAGAATCTTGAATGTTTATTTCTTTTAATCACAAGACTCAAATGCATTAAAATAAGATAATTTAATAATAGCAATGAAATACCCAAGGCCATGTGAACTCTAGCTTTCTGTATGCTAGACTAAACCCAAATTAGTCCAGAAAGTTACTTGCCTACTGTCAAGAAATGTCAATTTAGCCTTTATGTGTTCTGGTAGAAGTCGTAAGACTCCTAGATCCGAGAAAAATAATTTTCTTTCTTTTCTTTTTTTTTTTTTTTTTTTTTTTTGAGACGGAGTCTTGCTCTCTCACCAGGCTAGAGTGCGGTGGCGTGATCTCAGCTCACAGCAAACTCCACCTCCCAGGTTCAAGTGATTCTCCTGCCTCAGCCTCCTGAGTAGCTGGGGCCTGCCACCACGCCTGGCTAATTTTTGTATTTTTAGTAGAGACAGAGTTTCACCATGTTGACCAGGATGGTGTCTATCTCTTGACCTCGTGATCAGCCTGCCTCGGACCCCCAAAGTGCTGGGATTACAGGTGTGAGCCACCACTCCCGGCCTACTATTAGCATTTCTTTTGCCCAGTTACTAGAGCTGCAGTCTCACTGAGGGTGGCCATCTCTATAATCAGGGTTTGTGTTTCAAGAGAGGAACCCCGGTCTTAGGGGGCCCAAATCTTTCATAATGAAAAGCAAGCATAGCTATTCTTTGCCCTAAAGGGAGCTCCTATCTCTATCTTCCAAAATGTTAAGGAATCCTGCGTTTTGCTCCAGAAGAAAACATTGTTTCTATATTTCAAGGCTGTTTTCTATACAAATTCCTTTGAAGGGAAAATAAAGAAAAAAGGCATGCTCCAATACATAATGAAATATAAGGAATTCATTCGTAATTATCTCTCAACATCTGTGGTTTATATTTTGTAAAAAATAATCATATTAATGCCTTCTATGGGCTTAGAAACTTATGGTTTATAGATCATATTCACAAACATTTTGTATTTCTTTGACAGCACAGATCTTTGCTGGGCTTTACTAATCTCATAATACAGATGAACATACTGTCTCTGAGAGACTAAGTAAATTTTTTTCCCAAATTCCATAGCATTAACTGGTGAAACAGGGACCTGTTTGCCCCCAAATGCATTGTATTTTCCATAAGACCAGAGTAGCTGTGGTGGACCATAGTCCACCATACTTATTGCTAATGGTATGTAAAAGAAAGAATTAAATATGTGATATGATTTCAGAAATGTTTTGGCAGGGTCATCACAAAAGAAACAAACAAAAAAATCTCTCTTTGTCCTGTTGCATGTGCCTGAAAATCACCTTTTGAAGATTTTTTTCATGTGGAATACTAGCCTAAGGTTCTTCAAGCTTTGAAGAGCCTTGAGATATTCTTTTTTGTTTTTGTTTTTGTTTTTTTGAGATGGAGTTTTGTTCTCATTGCCCAGGCTGGAGTGCAATGGTGCCATCTCAACTCACTGCAACCTCTGCCTCCTGGTTCAAGCAATTCTCCTGCCTCAGCCTCCCAAGTAGGTAGGATTATAGGTGCCCACCACCACACCCAGCTAATTTTTTTGTATTTTTAGTAGAGACAGGGTTTCAACAAGTTGCCCAGGCTGGTCTCAAATTCCCGACCTCAGGTGATCTGCCTTCGTCGGCCTCCTAAAGTGCTGGGATTACAGGCCTGAGTCACCATGCCCGGCCAAGAGCCTTGAATATTCTGAAGTTTGTCCATCCCTCTGAGTAAAACAAAAAACATGAGGGCAAAAGAGCTGAGAGTAAATTTTCCAACAACTCTACCCAAGAGCTGATAGCAGAAAGTTTCATTCACATGAGACAAATGGGAACCCAGGGACTGAATGAAAAGCAAATCGGAGAGAGACATGAGAGTGTGCACATACTTGGTGCAATTCATAAGTTTTCTCAGTTTAACCTGCATCAGTTTTGACCTAAGTAATCTCTGTCCGAGTTTCTCTCCTCTTATAGTCAGGAAAATCTCTCTGTAATCCTTTGTATATCGTTTTATGCTATTTAAACGTGTCCACTTGCCTCATCCTCAAAAGTTAGAGAAAAATTTGCTTTCTACTAAACTGCCTCTACTGTGTAGACTTAAAGTAGTATTTCCCAGATCTTGAAATAATAATGAATAAAACATAAAAGGGATCCTTGATCAAGTAAATGTGGGGAAATGAGATTAAACAATGCTACTAATGTCTTTACATGAGGACTTCTCAGTGGGTTTAATATGATAATGTGAATTGTGAATCTCCACGGGAAGGATATAATATGCAGAATTTTCTTAATTTACCCCATACTGGAGCTTTGTTTTCATGAAGCACACTTGGGAAATGCTGCCTTAAAGAAAATCTACAGGAACAAAGCCATAAAATATAACCAAGGCATTTTTGGCACCTAAAAATACCAAAATATCAACTGTGTGCCAGCATAATAAAAAATAAAATGTCTCCCCTATCCCATATAAGAAGGGAGGAATACAATAATATCAGTAAAATATCCAGTATTCATAAGCTATACTATATATATGCTATGCTACATAAAGTAGACTTTTATGTACACCACTCAAGATTTTTTTTCCAATGTTCTTTTGAAAAAATCTAATGGTGGTGGGAGGTCCCCAAAAAGGTTTGTACTAGTCAGAAATTATAAATGTATGGCTACCTTATAATTTATTATGCCAGCTTTAAAGCAGACTTTAGAGACATTGGCATTCCATCCTTAGGTGTAATTCCTGTTTCTATACTGACTTGATTTAATTATAATGCAAGCTATTCATTTAAATATTTTAATGGACTTTCCCCTCCAGTTATCATAGAGTAATAGTTATTGGAATAGCTCTCATGCCATAAGCAACTATAAAAATAGGCAAAGTGTACAGAGCAAGTGTTTTCAAATTCACACAAATGTAATACAGAACGGTAATCATTAGAGCAGGGAAATCTATGAGTTGAGTCCCACAGCTATCCCAGCTTTCAGCTTGGAGTTCATTTCCACACTGCAGCATGAGCAGGCAAAGTCCATGGCAGACCTCCCTAAGCTGAGGAAGTAGAGATCTGACTTCAGGACTGTTCAGGTAACTGTAAATTATAGAACATAGTACCAGAGAGAAAAAAGCTGTGTAGAGAATGAGCCCCAAAATATCTGCATTTGCATCCCTTGGTATCTTTAGCTAACACTAAACTGTGCATGCTTGAGGAAAGATACCAAAAGTTCTGTCAGTCAAGAGCAACTGAAAAAGCTCTGAGCTGAACAACTATTCCAGAGACTATGTAGAGTTTGAGACCTTGGAGTTCTGACCACCAGAATGGAGAGATTTTGCTGACCACTGTGATCATTCGGTTGATGTGCTCTAATGGACCTGTCTTAGTTGTAGTGCAACTCTATATCTAGAATAAAGATTATTTTAAAAGCTCCCTAACAAAACATAACATTTTTGAATATTATGTTTTGAATGAAACATGTTTGAAAAAAGTCATTTAGGTTGAAAGAAAGGATTTACATCTAAGAATGCTAGTCCTGGTTTATATACAAGCCTCAACAGAATCAAGCAGAATCATCAATAAATTAACTAACTGAATAAAACTCAAAACTATTTAAAGAAATAGCACACAAGTCAGACTCTCAACAATATTGCCTTCAACTGTCTAGCATTTAATTAAAAAAAAATACTAGATATGCAAATAGGCAGGACAATATGACCCACAAAAGAGAAAAGTAGGGGGAGCAGGGAAGACAGCTGAGAATCGTGGACTTGATGCAAGATTTTTTGCTCCTTATCTCATCCAGGTCTGTGTTCTTGTCTCACAACCAGGAAGAAGTAGGCATGCAGACACCCGAAAAGTGAGAATGGTGGGAAGTGTTTTATTGAGTGATGAAACAGTTTTTAGTGGGAAGGGGATGCTGGGGTGGTCCCCTACCCAAAGGCAGGAGAGTTATCAATATAGCTGAGCCCAGGGCTTTTTATGGACTCAGATTGGGAGTGTGTGCTGATTTGTTTGTGAATATGTGAAAAAGGTTAAAGCAAAGACACCACTCAATGGTATAGAAAACCAATTAGGAAAGGCTAGGTATATGTAAAATAGGTAAAGGATGTGGATCAATAAGAGGAAAGCATGCCAACTGGGAAGGTGGGTTCTCAATCTGGTCCAAGGATTTACCCAGGACTGTTTCTGGCTTGAAGGTTGTATTTCACCAGGGACCCACCCCTGTCTGCCTAGGCATTTGTCTGCCTCCTGCCTCTATCAGAATGATGAACAGAAATAGACCTGGTGATAACAGATGTTGGAAATAGTAGACAAGAATTTTAAAATGATCTTACAAATAGGTTCAAGAATCTAAAGAACAAAAAATAAGTATAATGTGGTATACCAAATGGATGGATAAGGAAACTCAGTAGTAACAAAAAAATAAAAGAATGAAAAAGAGGAATAAAAATAAAATATCTGAAATTAAAAATGCACTGGGTGGGCTTTTCAGGAGTTTAAATATGGCAGAGGAAAACATTAATAACTTAAAGACAGGGCAACAGAATTCTACACAATCTGAAGGACAAAAAGGGAAAAGGCTGGGGGGAAAACAAAATGAACGAAACTTCAATGCATCTATGAGAAAACATAAAGTGATATAACACCTATATAATTGGAGACCCGAAAGGAGTGTGAAACTGATGCACCCCCCATAAAGAATGAAAGAGAAAAAGGAAAAAAGAACAAATAAATGTTGTCCCAAATGTGATGAAAAATAGCAACTCAAGATTCCAGAAATACAACAAATCTCAGGCAGGATAAATGGAAGGAAAACCTCCTATGTAAACCATAGCCAAATTGCTGAAAACCGGTGATAAAGAAAATATTAAAAGTTTATCCAGATGGGGGAAATAAGCACAGGAAGAAGTACTAGCCAGAAGACAATAAATGACATTTTAAAAGTGCTGTTAACCATGATTTTTGTGTCTAATAAAAATATCTTTCAAAAATGGAGGCAAAATAAACTTTCAAATAAATAAAAACTAAGATTATTTATTACCACTGGATTTATTCTATAATAAACATTTTTGAAAAATGTCATTTAGGTTCATGGAAAGGATTTACATCTGAGAATTGAGAATAAAGAGCTGAAATAATAGTAAATATGTGGGTAAATATAAGATTTTTATTTCTCATTTTTAAATGTATCTAAAAGATAACATTGTTTTTAGAGCAAAAATAATAGCAATGTATTTTGTGGTTTAAGATATATGTACATATTAAATGTAATACAATATTTAAAAGATGGGAGGGTATCAGTGGAATTATACAATTATAACGTTCTTAATCATACATGAAGTGGTATAATATTAATATATGATAAACTGTGATAAGTTGGGAGTGCATATTATAATCCCTAGAGCAAACACTAAAAGTAAAACACAAGAGGATAGCTAAGAAAACAATAGAGGAGATAAAAATGGATTGCTAAATTTCCTCAATGAGGCTTCCCCTTTCTTCTCTAGGGGAATAATAAATAACAAACAAGAACAGCAATGTAGACATCTTAAAGTGCTAGCCCTGGTTTTTGTATAAATTTGCTATTGTGTCTTTTTCATTTTTGAGGCAGGAAGTGGTTGGAGTTTATGGGCATTATGTTTGTTTTTTTCATCTAAAATTATTCTCTGTTGCTTTTCAAATGCATTTTTATAGAACTAATGTAACCATAATCCTGGAAACTATACTTAGTGATGAATGAACCAATCAGGTTGGGTATAAAGGGAAAGCTTTAGGACGAATTGGCAGAATTTACCATATAAATCTCTACTTCAAATCTTGATCATACATTCCAATATTCAATGGCCCATTTTGCTAAATATGACTTAAATTTTATTTTAAATGTTTGTTCAGTCAAATAACTACCATATTTCCATATTTCATTCCTTTGGATGATTAATGTGATCAGATATCTCAAACATTTTTTTGTCCAGTCGAAGGACTGGAACCATTGTTGTTTTGTTTTGGCATTTTTACTGTTGCATCACACACACAAAAATTGCATAAGCCACCCCTGGGTAATATTTACTTGGCTGTAATTCCCCAGAAGTGGAAATTGGCTACATTTACCGATTTGTGTACTGAATCACATTTTCATCACATGCTTTCTCTTTTTCTCTACCATTTTCTTCTTTGTAAATAAAGTTTATTTACCTTACTAGCACCAATGTACAGTGTCAGGTAATAGTCCTGAAATAATAAGAGCAGGAACAATGTGAAGACCATTCCGGGGAGAAGAAAGTGACCAAGAAACTTACCTCCAGGGAAAACTTGTATTGAACATGATTAAGCCTACCTCCTATTGTAATAATGGTTTGTTAATATTCTCAGTCCAAAGAAACAGCATCCAAAAAAGATTTCAGAGGTGATGGACTGGAGAAAAGGATGTCCATGAGATGCTGTCCAGTTCTGAAAAGAGAGCTTTTTGCAGAGTTATACAGCCAGGGCCATCCAAGAAAGATTAAGGAACAAGCAGCTAAAACCTTAGGGTTTTCCTAATTGCATAATCATCCGAGTCCTGTAGAGGTTGAATTACATAATTGCATAGTGAGACTTGACATTTCAAGACAGAGCATGCCATTCAAAAAGGGAAGAAGAGAGGGGGTTGGAGATAGAGTTCACAGGGAAACATCACTGCCTGGCCAAACACTGTATATATACCAGGGAAAGCAGGAAATTAAGCTCTTGCTGCTGAATACTAGCAGAGCTTTAATCACAGCTCCTGACTTCCTTTTTGCCAAGTGAACAGATCACCACAGCAGGATGTTTCTCTACTTAGTGAACTTCAGAAAGTTAACTGAACTTTGGGTTTCTAGGGAGTTCTGGCAGTTACAGAAAGAAATATATAGATTACATAGATATAATCTATATAGGTCTCCTTGCCACTGTTAAGCCTCCCAATTGTGTTGAATATAATTGATGAGGTACTTAACATTTTGTACACTTTAGAAAATAAACTCGTTTGTGTTCTCTCCTTCCTTTCCACATAATTTCTCTCTCTTTACCTTTTCTCTGTCTTGCAAATGGCCCTCTCTTCCGACCATATCACACTGCCAGTAAGTTGAAATAAGCCACAGTATGCGAATGTTTGAGATTTTAGGGTCAAATTTCTTCTTTTCAGGGTCTTTGATTTTTTTTAATGTTTTATTTTCACCTGTTTATTCCACGGGAACTTTTTAAAAAAAAAACACACACATTATATGAAATGTGTTTAAATTATTTGACTTTCTTCCAACAAATTACTGTGTATCTTAAGGGTATAGGTAAATTATTAGTTTCCAAAGAGAATTCAATTAAAAAACCCCCACTTTTCATTTTTAATTAATACTGAAATACAACTTCTCTCAATTTACTCTCACTCCCAGTAGAAGAACCTTGAACAAAAATGAGCATCTGTTATTGTTGAATAATACCTGTAAACCATATTTTTCTCATTGCTTCTTTTTTTATGAGATTTAGGTTTTTAGATTTTTTCATAACCATGTTTTATAACCAATAAATAATTAGTTGAGCAAAGACTATATTTTTTCTTAACAGGAGCTCATAATTATTGGTCTTTAAAGTAGGAATTATTGGAGTCAACTTTAAGTTGCTAATTTGAGAATCTCAACTGCTTTCAGCTAAATTTTCAGAGCCAGACACCCTCAAACACACGTACAGATACACCTAAAGCATCAATGGAATATCAGTTAAGATGCTTTTGCCTAACAGGCATATGAAAAGGTGCTCAACATTATTGATCATCAGAGGAATGCAAACCAAAACTAGAATGAGATATCATCTCACTCCAGTTAAAATGGCTTTTATCCAAAAGACAGGCAATCACAAATGCTAGCAAGGATGTGGAGTAAAGGGGACCCTCATACACTCTTGTCAGGAATGTAAATTAGTACAACCACTATGGAGAACAGTTTGGAGGTGTCTCAAAAATAAAAATACAACTACCACATGATTCGGCAATCCCATGGCTAGGCATATACCCAAAAGAAAATAAATGAATATATCAAAGAGATATCTTCATTCCCATGTTTACTACAGCACTATTCACAATAGCCAAGGCTTGGAAGCAACCCAGTGTCCATCAGTAAACAAATGGATAAAGAAAACATGCTACATATACACAATGGAATACTATTCAGCCATAGAAAGTGTGAGATCTTGTCATTGGCAACAACATGGATGGATGTGGAGTTATGTTAAGTGACATAATTCAGGCACAGACAGACAGATTTCACATGTTCTCACTTACTTATGGGAACCAAAAATTAAAATAATTGAACTCACGGAGATAGAGAGTAGAATTACGGTTACCAGAGGCTGGGAAGGGTAATGGGGTAGGGGTAGAGTGGGAGGGGAAATAGTTAATGAGTACAAAAAATAGTCAGAAAAAATGAATAAGATCTAGTATTTGGTAGCACAAAAGGGTGACTATAGTCAATCATAATTTAATTGTACATTACAATAACTAAAAGAGCATGCTTGGATTGTTTGTAGCATAAAGGATAAATGCTTGAGGTGATGGATACCTTATTTACCCTAGTGAAGTTATTACATATTATATTCCTGTATCAAAAGATTCCATACATCCCATAAATATATACCCACAAAAAAAATTAAAATAATGTTGTTGTTTTTTTTAAAAAAAGTTGCTTTTGCCTGGGAAAGAAAATCCCAACACAAACTGAGTTAAACAATAGAGGTGTTTATAGCAGAATATATGGAAGGAGCGAGTAAGTGCTGACTCTAGGCATAATTCCTCAGGCTTTAATCTCTGCTTCATTGTGATTTTCTTGACTTTGTTCCCCTCCTGGTAATGAAATCATGCTGAAGTCATCAGTTAGATGACTGCCTCAGTACTATTATCATATTCAGGCCTGACAATGTCCAGAAGGGGGAAAAAGTGAGCATTTCTTATTGCTTCCCTTTCTTAGTAGCAGTAAGCCTATTTTCACTTGTACTTGATTAAGCTTCTTGTCTCATTGGCAAGAGATACTTCACATGCCATTCCCACTACCTTCAATACCAGAAGGGATGGAATTATAAAATTTGGCCTAACATGTCAGGATTTATTATTGGTCAGGACCAATAATAAGATCAATGTCTCCTGAATCATATAGAGAAAGGATGAATATTTTAAGAAATTCAGGGTTCACCTAGAGTTGGGCAGAGGAAGAGAGTAAATTTTGGGTAGATAACAAACAATGTTCTACAAATAAGACACGAAAAATCAATCTGTGAATGTTATTCCATTCCGTTCCACACATCAGTAATGGTGATCCAAATGAGAGGCAATCTTAGGGGGTTTTTTTGGAGGGAAATATTGGGTTATAGAAGTTCTTTGCCTAACCCCATTATGAATTAAGCAAAACAGAAAATGCAGAGAGATGAGAGAAAGAGGAGAGTCATGTTGATATCATTTGAGTTCTGAATGCAACCAGGCCAAAAGTTAGCTTTAAATCTAGATTTTCAGATAAGTTAAACAACAAATAATCTTTTTTATTTGACTCTGTTTGAATCAGATTTCTGCCATTTGTAACCCGCTCTGACCCAATTATTTCTAACGGACACAAGGTTTAAAAACAAATTATATTGTCCTTTAGAATGGGTCCCAGTACCTTGACTTTAGAGCCAGTCTTAATGGGAATCGTATTATGGCAAAGTTCCAGTTTTTGCTCTAATATTGAGAGCCTTGTCATAATTTTCTAGAACTAAAATAGAAATAAGGCCTCTGTATTATTTTTGTATTTTTTTGTGGAGGACGTAAAAGGGAAAATTTACCACAAGTTTAGAAACAGGAGTTGAATTTTCAGACTCAAATGGGGAAAACTGATCCAAGACAAATAACTAACTAAAGGTGAGGCTTAGCAAGACTAACGCTTATATTTTATTGCTACATGAGCAAAAGACACAATTGAGAATGAACCAAAAGAAGACATACCTGGAAGGATTCTAAGCTTGAATTCTGATGCTGAACTTGTTATGAATTTGGATGGTGACAGTTTCGAATGTGGACATGCTATTAATAAAACCATTTAAAGCATTCTAGACTAATGGAGCAATGGAGAATTACCAATATAATCCAGATTTGGTTTAAGAAAAATCATTCCATAAAATTGTTTAAGATTAATTACAGTAGGAAGAGACTATAGGTAAGAAAGCCAGTTAGGAGATTTGCATTATGCCAGCAAGGCATGATAAAGGCTGACACACATATTTAATTGATATACCTGTGATCCTTTAGGGGTATGTGTGCGTGTGTTTGAAGGTGTATAGCTCAGAAAATTTAGCTGGAAGCAGTTGAGATTCTCAAGTTAGCAACTTAAAGTTGACTCCAATATTTTTTTAAAAGGGAGAAAATATCATAAGGGTAAAATTTATACAATTTATTGTAATGAGAAAAACATTCAAATTATTGCCAGATGATCTGGATTTTACTTCTGTTTCTAGTGATAACTATTGTGATCAAATGCATATGGACAAGAAATAGTTTGTAAATATCCATCAAGCTACCAAATTTTAAAATTCTTAAATTTTATTTTTCCCTGCTTATTATGGGCTTCCAAATGGAGAGTAATTGTTATACTTCCTGCACAGAAAATATAACAAGGAACTCAAATATTATGGCCCAACCGATTTCCATCTAGGGTGGAACAGCAGAGCAATTAGAGCCACTTAATGTTACAGTGGCAACTACAACTATTCAAAAACTTTCAGTGTACTAAGAATAAATGCTGCTAAAATAAAAATACTTGAAAGAAAAGTATGTCATTAAATGAGTTCATTGCTACTACTGTATTAACTTACATCTGTCAAATCTACAATCAGATGTATTCCACAGAAGCCAAATGTAATGTGACTCCATGGAGACTGTTATTTTTAAAAATATTTATTGTTTTTCTTTTTGTTCACATGTGAAATGAATAAGCTAGCAAAAGCAACCCTGCCAAAATTAATCGAATAAAAACATGAGGAATGTGCCTTTTCCTGGCTTCTCATAAACTAAAAGCTGCCATCTGATCTTTAGAAACTTAGATATAATCAAATATGTGATAGGAAGTAGAAAGAGTTTGCCAGCATAAACTGGAAAGCCTTAATGACAGTAAAGAAATAGAGCTTAATGAAAAGTTATGAAGAAAGCAGAAGCAAAAATATAAGCCAAGGGTCAAAGCACTCCATCAATATCTTGTGCATTAAATGGAGGATACTTGTGTAATCTGTTCCATTTAAATTAATTTATTAAAATATTACTATTGTCTTCATAATAGTCATGCTTATTCTAATGAAGTTTTTACTGCTCACACAAATAAAAATTCTTTTTAAAACTATTTCCAGTGCCTTCACCACATCCTTTTGAATGTCTTCAGAAAAGGACAATGATCTAAATATCTCATTCAAAGGGAAGGATGATCAGAATAGTCAAAAGGCAGAAGTCAAATATATACTATATATAACACATACAATATAAATATAAAGACATAGAGTGAAAGTAAAATGTTGGAAAAATTATACTATGCAGCCATAGCATAATAAAGCTGGTACAGTTAAATTAGTACACAGCAAAATAAATTTCCAGACAAAGAATATTACAGAAGACAAATGGGAACTTCACATAATGATAAAAGTAACATTTCACAAGAAAGACATGGCAATTCTCAATATATAAGCACCTAATAAATAGGTGTTAAAGCTCAAGAAGCAAAACTGATATAGCCAACAGGGAAAATAGACACATTTGTAGAATCAGAGATTAAACATCCATTTCTTGGTATTGATAAAACAAGCAGAAAAAAAGTGGTGAGGATGTTGCAGATGTAACATCACTATCGATCAACTGTACCTAATTGGCATTTATAGAGCATTAAAACTTCAACTATTGAATACACTTGATTTTCAAAAGAAAGACTTTATATAGCTACTTCACCAAGATGGACCACATGCCAGGTCATAAAAAAGTCTCAATAAATTTCAAAAGTAAATAACATTTTACAAAGTACATTTTCTGACCACAACACAATTAAATCAATACCAATAAGATACTAATCCAAAAATCCCCAAATATTTAAAAATTAACTAATTTATTTTAAAATAACCTGTGGATCTAGAAAACAATATCAAATTAGAAAACATGTTAAGTGAATGACAACAAAAAGCAAACAAATCAAAATATGGTGGGTAAAGTAAAGCAATACTTAGAGGAAAATATATAACTGGAAAGGTCTGTATTTGAAGAAAAGAAAGGTATAAAATCAGTGATCTAAGTTTTCGTCATATGAAGTTAGAAAAAGAACAAGCTACATCCAAAATAAGTAGAATTCAGGAAATAATAAAAGCTAAAAGCATGTATCCATGAAATAAAGAACAAACAGTAGATAAAATTAACAAAGCCAAATGTTGACTCTTGGAAAATATTTATAATACAGGTAAGCCCCTAGAAAAGTTATTTTACAAAAATCATGAATGACCAATATGGGGCATGAAAGGAAGGACCTCACTACAGACATGAAAGGTTAATAAGGGAGTTTTATAAACAACTCTATGCCAGTAAGTGCGACAAAGCAGATGAAATAAATATATTTCTTGAAAAACATAGTTTACTAAAACATTCAAGATTTCCCTCAATATTACCTCAGGGTAATATTCATCTTTAACGTAAGATTTGATTGTTACCCAAAGCACATCAGAGGAATCAGGATAATTAATATTAATACTAATATTTTATCTCAAAATAGTATGATGCTTATTAAATGAAAATACTGAATTTCTTATGAAACTCATTATGTAATTTCTAATTGAAACAAATTGTTTTGGTAATATTTAAACAATAGTATTATCAATGAAAAAAGCACAGAATTTCAATGTGATTAGTTTAAGGACCATGACTTTTTTAATATGTTATGTTTTAATCATAATTACTCATAATTTTGTAGTCATGAAATATGCACCATTTATTTCTATTTTTGCACTGAAAGTTCAGCTTTAACGTACAAACATTCTCTGCAGAATTCTTAAAATAAATTCTTTCCTTTTGTCCTGAAACCTCCTTAAACTTCTGCTCTTCCCTTGTATCATCAGGCTTGGGGAATTAGTGATAACACACTCATTCAGTGATACAAAAGATGCACATTCATGGATGGCAGATGTGTTTTTCTTTGCCATCCATCCCAATAATTTAAACAAATAGAATGCACTTATGGAGTGTGCAGTCTTCAGCTTGTCACAGTTTTTATCATTTGTCAATGGTAAATACAATCCGATATTCCACATCCTTTAGTTAACTGCCTGGTATGTGTAGGTATTTGAGTTTGAAATAAGTTTCTTTCCATACCACTGCACTGAAACTGATCACTCAAGTATCACTAATCAGCACCTATCAAAAAAAAATAGAATTTACTTAGTCTTTATACTCAAGCATGTCTCTACAACACTGAGCACTCTTTGACCATTCCCATCCTTTTGAAATAGTCTGGTGTGTGTGTGTGTGTACGCGCACGCGTGTGTGTGTGTGTGTACATGTGTGTTATCCAATAAAAATCTCTTGGTTTGCCTTTACTCTCGCTCTGTTGCCCAGGCTGGAGGGCAGTGGCGTGATCTTGGCTCACTGCAACCTCCACCTCCTGGGTTCAGGCGATCTTCATGTCTCAGCCTCCCAAGTAGGTGGTACTACAGGCACACACCACTATGATAAGCTAATTGTTGTGTTTTTAGTAGAGGCGGGGTTTCACCATGTTAGCCAGGATGGTCTTGAACTCCTGGCCTCAAGTGGTCTAGCCGCCTGGGCCTCCCAAAATGCTGGAATTACAGGCATGAACCACACCGTGCCCAGCCAGCCTTTTGTATTAGTTTTCTAGGGATGCTGTAGCAAAATACAAAAACTGGGTGGCTTGAAACAATAGAAATTTGTCTACGGTTCTGAAGGCTAGAGGTACAAAGGCAAGGTGTTGGCAGAGCCATGCTCTCTCTGATGGCTCCAGGGGCGAATTCTTCCTTGACCCTGTAGCTTCTGGTATTTGCTGGCAATCCTTAGAATTCTTTAGTTTGTAGATGTCTCATGTCCAGTCAAATGGTCATCTTTAAATTGTCTCCCTCTCTGTGTGTCTGTGTTTAAATTTCCCCTTTGATGAGGACATCAGTCATATTGGATCAAAACCTACCCTAATAACCTCATCTAAACCTAGTCTGATCTGCAAAAACCATATTTCCAAAAAAGGTCACACTGTTAGCTACTAGGGGTTAGGACTTTAACCTATCTTTTTATGGGACACAATTCAATCCATAATATCATCTGTCTTTTTGCTACTGCTTTTTTCTGTTCCTTTTTTCTTCTTCGAATCCACGTAGGAATTCTCAAAGGGTTGGTTCTTGGCCCTCTGTGCTGATTTTCTATACTCTTTGTCGTGACAATAGCATGATTTCAAATATTTCCTCTGTGCTAACACTTCCTAAATCTCCACTTCCAGACCGTCTTTTGAGCTTCAGTCTTACATTTCAAGTTGCTTGCTAGAACTTTCCACCTGGATACCCCAGGAATCACAAACCCAATATATCCTCAGTCTAAACACAAACTGTTCCTTCTGTTACTATTATAAATTTGAAATCATATAGGTAAAATAGGAAGAAACTCTCTTCCTTTATACTCCACATCTAGAGAGTTACTCAGGACTTCAGATTTAACTTTTGTATAACTAAGAATTGCTATGAGCTTGGGTTCAGGAGTAACATTATCTGGGTTAAAATCCTGGCTCAGACAATTGCTAAGCGTGATCTGGTGCCCTGTGATTCTTAAGTGCAAAATAGGGAAAATATTATATACCTAATAGGGTTGTTTTGTGGAAACAATAAAATAACACATTAGTGCCCCTACAGAAGTGCCTGCAATAGTAAATAATTATTGCGGCTATAATAATTGTTAATAGTAAGAAAAAGTACTATATGTCACTTTATCTCTATTCCCACTTCTTTCATTCTGTTTTCAGACTTCATCGTTATTCACCCGCAATTTATAGCTAACTTGTCTCCTTACCTCCAATCTCTCCACATTCTAATCCAGTCTGCAGACATCTTCCAGATTAATCACCCTGTACCATGGCTCTGTTCGTTCCCCAGGGCACAATCCTTCACTGACTCCCCATTGTCTACGAAATAAAAGGCCCTCTGGTCCCAAACCTGCTTTCCAACCTCATTTTCTACCACTCCCTTCATATATCAAATACTTCAACCAAACGGAGCTGTTTGACATTCTCCATACATGCTGCATATTTTGACACCTGTGTGCTCCTATTTATGTAGCTCCCCTGCCTCAAACCCAATCTTGCTCAAATCCCAACCAGCCTTGCCGGCCCAGTTGAAATGCTGTCTGCTAGAAAAAGCTTTCCTCAATCATCTCAGCTAGAAGTAATCTTGCTCTATTTTAAAACTGAGTAGTGTCTCTCATTTACACATTCACCTCCCAAATACTTACTGAATGCAAATTATGTATCAAAATTATATATCAAGTACTAAAGTAGGGACTGGGAAACAGTAGTAAAGACAATGGACATGGCTCTTGTCTTCATGGAGCTTGTGATCAGAGAGACATATATTAAATGAGTTAATTTAGAAGTGAGAATATAATTTTAATCTGTGATATCTACCCTGAAGTACCAATTTTATTATAGTAATTAACTTATGTATCTTATTTCTCTCTACATGACAGCTGAATATTAGAACTATCTTTTGATCCTTTCTACTTAACAAAATATTTTGTTTGTCAGAATTTCAATAGCTGTTATTATTGGTATGCTAATTTTTGGTGCATTTTAATGACTGTAAATAAAGGTACAAAAGGGAGTCAAGTTGGAATCCTCTAGTCAATAAGAGAATAATGTAGACAATTCTCCTATGAGTCATTTTTATTCTATAAAAAATATTTTCTAGAATAAAAGAGAAGAAAATTGCCAAATCAGCATATTGAAAAAGTTCTGGCAACATTTATGTAACTTGGCTCATATTATTTAAATTGTTTGTGTCATAATTTGCTCATTTGTAGAATGAGGGTCATCACATGGTTAAGTGGTCTTTCAAAAGTATGCCTAAATGAAGTGGTCCATCTAACAGTACTATGAAATCTCTAAATCTTTAAATGTTATTTTTGAAATTTTTACATTGGTTTTAGAAATAAGTTGAGAAGAAGCCTCTGGAATGTATGTCATGAGCTAACTCGATAGTATAATGGAGTGATCAATCTAAATATTTTATTACAGATAAAGAAAGAAGGTGGAGGAATAGTCAGATCTCGAGATTACAAGTGGCAGCACCCAGCTCAAAGTAGTTTAAGTCTTTCAAAACAAGGGGTGGGGTGGGGCCAGCATTCAGTTTATCCCCTCTTCTCTGTTTTCTACTGGACACATAAGGAGATTTGGCTTTTCTTCTCTTTTTTCTCTTAGGGGTATGTGATTTCCAGGGAAATGCATTAACAATACTGGCATGGGCCTCATAATTGCACCTTTAACTGAGAGATGGGGCACCGTGATTATCCAGGCTGAGTTCCCATGCCTATCTCTGTGCTAACAACTCTGTCGAAATAAAATAATTGGATTGGTGAGGAACAGCTCTCCAAATAGAAGCAGAAGATCTATTCTAGAATGAGGGGTGGAAAACTGTACTGTCAAAGCCAATAGACATCTATAACATTGACTCATTTTCCATTTCATCTTCATACATCAAAACTTCAACCTAAGTAGACTATTTGACATTCTTCATACACACTGCATGTTTCAGCATCTGTGAACTTTTATTTGTGTTATTACCCTTCAAACATAGTTAAGTTCTGCCCTCAAGCATGGTTGAATTTCTTACCTAACAATTAATAAGGAGTGAGTGCCACTTTTAGTTAGAATGTAGAAGGTTTCAAGATATGATCAAACTTGCACTAACAATGATAATTATCCAGATGTGCTATTAAGTCATAGCATTTTAGAAGCCCATCTCAGAGCAGAGAATACAAAGAAGTGTAAATGAACTAAAATGCAAACAATAACAAATTATTCTTAAAAGGCAAAGATTCACAACTGAAAGAGATACCCCACGAAGAGAGCTGGCCTTCTTGAAGTGTGAGACGGTGATGATGAAAGCTCAGGCAAGGCATCAGAGCTAAGAGGAAGCCTCTTAAGACCACCAGGTTCTCACTGAATGTGAGGCAGTGGCTTCCAAAGACTGGGGATGGGCAAGCGAACTGAGAGACTTCCCACTGAGGTACTCTAGGTCTTCATCAAGGGTAATCCCAAGGTCTTCCTTGGCAGCAGGAACCAGGGTAAACAGTAGTCTTTCCAGGCACAGAATGCTGAGTGTGGGCCTGGAAGAAAAGGGTATTAACTTTCCAGTGAGCCTCAAAACATTTCAAACTAATAGTGGACTGAAATGTATTTATAGCTGCAACAAAGCCTACACCCATTTCCATTAAAGTTTAGATTGATTCAGCCCCCCACCCCCAACACTATGGCCTGACAGAGGAGACATGCCGTCTTGCCGTCTTCTAAGGGTAAATATTAATGAAGCTTTACTTCAATCTCTACTGCATATATATTATATATATATATATATATATATATATATATATATAGAGAGAGAGAGAGAGAGAGAGAGAGAGCACATAGCATATAAATCAAAAATTATGAGGCAAGTGAAGAAACAAGAAAATGTGACTGATGGTGAAAAGAGGAAACCGTCGATAGAAGCAGACCCAGAAGTGGCCCAGCTATTGGGCTTATCACACAACAATTTTACAGTAACTATGATAAATATATTGAAGGATCTAGTGATGATAAATATGTTAAAGGATTTAGTGGAAAAGATGAACAGTGTGTACCAGCAAATGGAAATTTCAGCAGAGAGACCAAAAATGTATTAAAGAATAAAATGGAAATGTTAGAAATGTGAAATGAAATGTGGAAAATGAAAAAATTTTTGATAGACTTACACAGCAGACTGGACTGAGAATAAAAACAGATTTAGTGAACTAGTAGACAGATTAATGTAAACTTCCAAACTGAAAGTATATGTAAACACCGTATTAGTTTGCTAGGTCTACTGTAACAAAATACCACAGATGTGGTGATTTGAAAATCAGAAATTAATTTATTCCAATTCTGGAAACTAGAAGCCTGAGAACAAGGTGGTTAGCAGGGTTGGCCTACTTTGAGGACTCTCTCCTTGGCTTGTAGACGGCTGTCTTCTCTCTGACTCTTCACATGGTCTTCCTCCTGTACTTGTCTACATCCAAATTTCCTCTTATAAGGACACCAATCATATCAGATAAGGGCCCTCCCCAGTGACCTAGTTTAAACTTAATTACCTCTTTAAAGACACCATCTCCAAATACGGTCACCTCAGAAGGTACTGGAAGTTAGGAGTTCAACATATAAATTTTTGTTGAACACAATTCAGCTTAGACACATGGGAAAAATATCAATAGTCTAATATGCATGTAATTGGAATCTTAGAAGTAGAGACAGACAGTGGTATATAAGAAATATTTAAGGAAATTATGGGAGAAAATTTTCCAAGATTCATGAAAGACATCTGTGTTAGGCCATTCTTGTATTGCTGTAAAGGAATACATGAGACTGGGTAATTTATAAAGAAAAGAGGTTTAATTGGCTCACGGTTCTGCAGACTGTACGAGCATGACACCAGCATCTGCTTGGCTTCTGGTGAGGGCCTCAGGAACCTTACAGTCATGGTAGGAGGCAAAGGGGGAGCAGGTGCATCACATGGGGTGAGGACAGGAGTGGAGGTCGGGTGGGGGTGTCACATACTGCTGAACAAACAGATCTCAATGAGAACTCACTCACTCTTGGGAGGACAGCACCACACAGATTGCACTAAACTGTTTATGAGAAATCTTCCCTCACAATCCAAACACCTCCCACCAGGTCTCACTTCCAACACTGTAGATTACATCTCAACATGAGATTTGGAGGGGTATCTAAATTACATCAACATCAACATCAACATCCGAGTTCAGAGAATCCCCAAGCTGGATAAGTCCACCCAGACATGTCACTGTCAAACGGCTAAAAACTAAAGACAAAGAAGTGATTTCCAAAGAAGCATCTATAAAGCAGAGGTGGGGGTGGGTGATGCGTTTCATCAGGGACAACACTTGGAAAAGTGACACATGATGCCGACCTTCTTATCAGAAACAATGAAGACAGTGAATCAGTATCATTAAAAAGCTGAATGGGGAGGGGGGAACTGTCAATTTAGAATCCCCAATTCAGCAAAATTATCCTTCAGAAATGAAGCAGGAATAAAACGTTTCAGACAAAAGATGGGAGAATTTGTCTCAAGAAAGCTGCACCACAAGAATTGTTAAAATAAATTCTTCAGGCCGAAATGAATTAACGGCAAATGGGACCCAGGTCTGCAGAAGTCAATGAAGAACACCAGGAATAGTGAAGATGGGGTAGGCTTAAGAGATTTCTAATTATTTAATGTAACAATGATAATGTGTTGTGGGTTTATACTACATGTAGAAATAAGCAAACAAAAAGCAAAGTCATCTAACATCAAGGTTAATGCTTTCAATACTAACCATCCTAGTTTCTATAAGGAAGATTTTATTGTAAACTACTGAGCATATATCTAGAGAAGATTTAGCCTTCAAAATTAGTCAAAAAGAAAAAAGGCATTCATCGACCATGTCTTTATTTCCTTCTTTTAAAATGTCTCTCCCATTTTCTACTCTCTTATTTTTCTTAAGCTGCACATATTGTATATAATATATAACCATATAGAATATTAGATTGCATATGTAATATAATAGACACATATAGTCTATGAGCAGATATCAACCAATACTTTAGAAAATTCCCTGTTCAATAAGAATTTAGGGAGAAAAAAGTATGAAAGCAACATCAACACCAGCTTGAGAGCAGAATTTGTGCACACACAATTTGCTATGGAAGTCTTCTGTGGAAGCACTAAATTTCTTTGAATCAATTATCTCTCCCTGAGCCATGGGCTTTGCCTTGCCTTGGTGCAACAGAGGCCTCATCATCCTTCCTCTTACACTGGGCACTGATTATCAAACATCCTCTGTTGTGCTGCTTGAACTACCATCCAATTCCCCTGCAGTCAATCTCAAGTAAAACTGAAAGGCTATGTTAAAAGAGCACCAACCTTCAAAGTTGCATGTGGAAAATATTCATTTTCGCACTCTGTGATTGAAGTCAGAGATGTCTTACTGTCAGAATTCTCAAATGTCACTCCTTCTATGAGAGCATAGAGGCCATAGGAAGTGTGTGAAACTTTCCTTTTAAAAGAACTCCAAGTGAATACTTAGTGGCAACAGAAGGTGCCAGGTTGAAAAATGAAAGCAACAGGGCCTTGTGAAAAAACTGAGCTCTAGGATCTCAGCTGGGATGGTGCTAATAATGATGACATCACTGCATAATGTGGCATTAATTTCCTGATTCCCATTTCTAAATTGGAGGGTAAAATGATGACCTGGCTCAGGGGTCAAGTGTTGAAAGACTTGATCAGTTAAGCGCTATGAATTAGAGATGATAACTGGCGCTGGTGCCCAGGAGATTTGGCTTCCTGTCTCAGTTCTTTCATAATCTGTCTCTATGCCAGTAGGTATTCTACATCTCTGAGGTGCCATTCCCTTATTGCAAAATGAGGGGTTGGAATTGATGAGGTCTGAGATTCTTTTCAAGGCTGAAATTTTATGAGTGAATGTTCTGAAGTCTCTATGAGTAGAGTTAGTTTTCCATAGGAAGTTTTAAACAAAGCAAAAAAAAAATGACTTACGGTCAAAATTAACCTTGAAAATTCCAGGCTGTACACTAATTTACCATCTATTATTTTTATTTAATTTCAACACAGCCAGGTTTTTCTTCAGTGTCTATGGGAATACAAGTTAGGACAGTTGACTTGTGTTTAAGGACTTTATTGTGTGGAAAATGCTAATCTTTATGTATTTAGTCCCAAGATATCATTTTTTTGTGTCTAATTTGTGACTTTGGAGTATAACAGTAATTATTCAGGGGTTTACTTCATTTAAGTTAATATGCAATGCACTAATAACAAATTTGTAAGCCTAGTTCTACCTTAAGCTTTTCAATTCAGCATATAAAAGTTATTATTCTATTTATAAGTATAACAAATTTTAGTAATTATCTTTAAGGAAGCGTTTGATTACTGTTTGATCCCACTTACAAATTTAGTTAATTAAACAACTTCAAACTTTTAAATTGCATGTATAAATTTAATATACTGTATTTGATTTCCTTTTAATTACTTCAATTGTTGGATGAAACTTAACAAGAAATTAAGTAATGCTTATATGTTTTATAAATACAACTTCGTATAAATCAAATAAAAATTTGATTGTTTTTAAGTTCTGCTCTACGTTCCAATACTTCATGGTAAGATATCAATTTTAAACACACATCCAAATTTATTTCTCAATTTTACATTTTAAAGTGGAACTGAAAGACTCTCTAGTTATTAGGTCAAAATCTTGCATGTGTTATAAATATAAGAAAAAACACTGTTATCTTAATACAGAACTATTCCTATTATAGTTTTTTCTTTTAACTATTTTCTATATTTTATTGTAAATGAATATGCCTGAGGTTAAAAATCATACTCATTAAGAAGTTAATTATGTTACCTCATGCAATTTAGGGGTATGTCTCCTCAGCCAGTTGAAATCAAATGAGTAAAAATATACTAGGCAATAGAGATATGTTGATGTGCAGACAAACATCCAGATGAGCAAATATCCGTGTATTTGTGCAGATATCTAGATATGCATTCCATCCTTGATCCCAATTGCTGAGCTGAGCCCCTTCCCACAGTCATCTGTCTTCAACTCTACAACTTAGAAGAAAAGCTACTCACTGACTCCACTTCCTTCAGTTTGAGACAATACTACCTAATTAATCTAATCACCTCAAAAATCAGCTATTCTACCCAGGCTACTACATTATTTGATTAAATTTGCACCCTTATGACTCTTAAGATGTTTAAATATTTTTCTCTATAGTTCCAAAAATACCTCTGGAATGATGGAATCTTGGAATTTTTTTTTTTTTTTGACACGGAGTCTCGCTCTGTCGCCCAGGCTGGAGTGCAGTGGTGCAATCTCGGCTCACTGCAAGCTCTGCCTCCCAGGTTCACGCCATTCTCCTGCCTCAGCCTCCCGAGTAGCTGGGACTACTATGTTTGTTTGTTTGTTTGTTTGTTTGTTTTTTAATGATGTAAGAGCAATTCAAATAGAAGTTTAGAGTCACTAGCCAGGAGCCAGAAATTCTTATACTGGTGTTTTGCAACTTTCTAACTATATGACACTGTGCAATTTGCTTGGCCTCTCTGGGCATTACATAGTCATAGCAGACTTGAGGAAACTGAGAAGAAGGTGTCGTTATGATCTGAGCTCAGTATCTTCTCCCAGTGTCTAAACTCCAAGCTGATTGTAAGCAAGTGAATTAGGAAGATATCTATCTCAGAGAGGAAATAAAAGCAGAGGATTGAATTGAAAAGGTATGGAAAGTTTAGGAAGAGTAAAAGAAGTTTAATGAGAGGGAACAGCAGAGGGAGGTTGTGAGGAAGTTGATGTGACTCCGGGGCCAAAGATGACACCTCCCTCCAGGACTCAAGAGGACCAGAGGAGGACTCCGTAGTCATCTAGTATGTCTATTCCAACATGAACCCAAGAACTGGGGAAACAATGCCAGGGCGGTCTGTGTCCCCACTAGGTTCACTGCAAGATGGAGACAGGCCAAGACTCCATTAATCTTCTAGCCTCCCCTCTGATTGGTGACCACAGCATTTAGGGTCCTCACAGATTAACATCAACTCAGCACCCACATCTAGTAATTCCCTAAAGATCTGAGTTCCCCCTTCCCCAGTACACAGTTATCTGGTCAAGTAGACATAGGCTTCTTTACAGAAGGTCTATGTGAATATTTTCAGGGTATACTATGGCTGAGTCACTTTATACAAAAACCTAGGCTCTCTTTATCCTTAGAGATTCCCAGTTCGGCTAATTGGTTCAGATCTAGGAATTAGGGAAGAGGCCATTATTCTCCATTATAATTATTCCAGTAAGGTCCCTGTCTTCCAGACCTAGATTTTTGGCATACGTCCCTCAGTGTCTGTGGGGCATTGGTTCCAGGATTCCCCACAGATACCAAAATCCTCAGATACTCAAGCCCGTTATCCAAAATGGTGTAGTATTTGCATATAGCCTTTGCACATCCTCCCACATATGTTAAACCATCTCTAGATTACTTATGAGACTTAATATTATGTAAATGATATATAAATAGTTGTTATACTGTATTCTTAAAATTTGTATTATATTTTATTGTTTTTTTCAAGTATTTTTGATCTGCAGCTGGTTGGAATCTATGGATATAGAACTTATAATTATAGAGAGCCACCTGTACAGACATCAGTACAATCGTTGGTTAACTGACTAATTCAGGGTTAGCAAATGCTTTTCTGTAGTAGGCTAGACAGTAATTATCTTAGACATTTCAGACTATATGATCTCAGTTGCAAGTGTAGTGTTAAAACAGTCATAGAAAACACACATATGAAAGGGCAAGACAGTATTCCAATAAAACTTGATTTATAAAATAGCATGTTGGATTTGGTCCTTGGGCCATAGATTTCCAACCTCTTGCCTAATTTTATCTGAAGGACCTTTGATCAATTAGCCAATACCAAGAATGCCCTCCTGACAAAACATTCTAACAAACACTCCAGGCCTGATGCCCATTATTGTAACTGCATCCTCCTTGTCATTGAACCTCTGCCTCTTCCTTCTTACCACGGAAATCAGGCAGCCCCTTTCAATGATGTCCTTTTCCATAATAGTCTCCTGCACAGGAGAGCCACCATGAAGCTACTCAAGGATCCTAGTTTTCCTGTCATTCAGGCTTTCTCAGTGCCATGGGGAATGAAGAATTGTCTAGACAGTACCAGGGAACATGGAAGCGAGTGAGTAGCACATGATAAATATACTGCAGTATTCTTATCTTCTACATCCTTGGATTTCTTTTTAAAAATTATTCCAGGGAAGTTCTGTCATCACAAACTCATTAAATACCTATCACTATTGAGTCAATGTTTTAATCAACCAAAGAAGCTGTGAGAGCCACTTCTGATCCATTATTTTGTACCCTTTGGCATAAAAGATTATGTAACAGAGCCAGGCGCATTGGCTTGCATCTGTAATCCCAGGTCCTTGGGAGGCTGAGGCCAGAGAATTGCTTGAGCTTTGGAGTTCGAGACCAGCCTGGGTAACATAATAAGAACCCTCAATCCCTAAAAACAAAACCAAACAAATTATATAATTAGTTCCAGATTTCTTTGTTTATAACAACCTTGCCATCCTTTCCTACATATGATATCCAGGGTTTTGCTAATATAAATTATGTGAGTCTTCGGTATAATTCCTTCACTATGTAGGCTATCTTCTTCTAGGTCAAACTTTGCTTTTACGTTCCTGGACCTACGGGGATCTAACTCTGGCTTTGGGCAGGAAGGCAATGAGATGGAATGAGCATATCTCTTGAAAATAATTGACATCTTCTTGCAAAGTAACTGCTTCAGTTGAGCTCGTTATAGTTTCTCAAAGCAAAGGAAGACTAGTTTCCTCTTTCTTTAGAAACAAGGGCTAGTTCCTTTGGAAAAGAAGGCTCAGAGGGATTAGGATTTTCAAAGCTTTTAGATTAATCTGTACCCACTCGCAAACCTTCATTCCAATTTTCAGATTTCTAGTCCATATTAACCAACGCCCTGGTGCTTACATAAGAGACATGCTGAAGCTATGAAGGCAACTGATGTTGCAACAACTCATGGGATCAAATCTGAGGTCTGACTTTCAGTGGCACAGTTCTATAACCTCATGAGATACTCTATCGGGGCCATCACAGAACCTCTCCATCCATATTTTATGGTGAGAATGTAAAGCCCAGAGACTGTCCCTTTCTGTCAGTAAGTTCTCTGTTGTAGTCAGAAGCTACTTATCACCCCTCAGTCCTTGTAAACGTGTTCACCATGAAACAGTCACTTGGCAACCTCAAGCTTAGACATTAATAGGTACATCATCTCAGGCAATGTCAGGGAATAATTTTAGTTACTCTCTTGCCACTGCATGACATGTACTAGTTTTCCATTTTCTGTTGACAGTGGGATTACAACTGTATTTAGGCCCGAGCAGATTACATAACCAATTCCAGATGTATTTGTTTCCGGGGACACTCACTGATAATGCTGAATCAGTGAGTTTCCAACAAGGAAAACAGAAGCCTTTCAAGATATTTCAAGAAGAGGTTTAACACAAGGAACTGTACATGAGGAACTGCAGAAGCAACAGAGAGAAGAAAAGGGGCTGCAGGAACAAAGGGACAGATTGGTAATACATGAAGTTCAAGGAGCTGCCCCATGACTGGCTGGAGCCTAGCAGCCTGCTGCTGACATGCTGGAGCAGCTGCTGCTAGAGCTATACCTTTGCTGCTAAGGGAGCCTGCACTCCGTGACGTTGCTGAACTTGCCACCTATGTTGCTGCCTATGGTCACAATCCTCTGCTTTCTGCTCCTGCTGTTGCTTCCAGAGGTACTAAAACAAGAAGTAAAAAGGCCTCTCTTTTGCTTTGGTTTTTTAATCTCCAAGTGATACCTCCCATTGGCAGACCCTAACAGGAAACCAGTAGGTAGGGAGCTGGAAAAGAGTTTTCAGGCTTCTAGCCCCAAAGATAAAAAGGATACTACCAAAGGGTAGGTGAGAAGCCAAGAGCAGACAATATCTAGGATTAAAAGTAGTCTTCAGAAGTTGTATGGACTATAGCCAGCTGCCTAAGATGCTACAACAGCCTGTACTGTTTTATATGAATAATTATTGCTGGATTCTGTTGTCCCAACATTTTTGCTTTCCACATGATATTACCAGTGATTTTTGTTTTATATATGGAAACTAAACCTTTGGCATTTCTTTTTTGTGGTAACTGAAGCAATGAACTCATTATACATACTCTAGTTGGCTTTGTGGAATTCATTTTCCTGTTGTAACCAATCACTACAAATCTTCACATGGCAGACTTCTTCACCATTTCAATCCCCTGAGTCATTTATTATAGCTGCAAATGAATAAATTGCTTGGGGCCCAATTCTGCTGGTGATATGTGAAAGAGTTAGACTACTGAATGTAAATCCCTTGCATACTGACTTAAAAAAAATGGATCCTGTTTGTCTTTAGCACTTTGCACTGTTAATCAAAGCTAATTAAAATGCAGTAGATTTTTAAAAAACATAGCACCCAATTGGTCTTTTGTAATGGAGAAAATGTAGCTGTCTATACAGGAATTAAGTGTGTGTGGTCCAAAAATATAATCTTACACTGTTCAGATATTCTCACTTTAGCCTGAATTTATTAGCTGCCTAATATATACAAATAAATTTTCTATTTTCTAGAGGATTTTAAGAATTGCAGAGCATATTTTCTGACCCCGGAAGCTTATAATTAATTTGGGAAGGCAAAAATGTACCAAAAGTGGTCATAATAAAATATAAAAATAGCTAGTATTTCCTGACACCAGAGAGGAGGTCCTCAAACACCAGTGGGACCTTGACAATGGCCAGTGTCTGGGCTCTTGAAAACATCTCAAGAAGGAATTCAAGGATGAGTCAGAAAATTGTGAAAGTATGGAGATTTACTGCAAAGAGAAAAGTATACAAGAAAAGCGAATGTGTGTATACTCAAAAGAATGAATCACATGATGGAGTTCGGAGCTGCTACCTTTATGGGTTTCTTTAATCAACCGGTGGAATATTCATGAATATAGGAGAAAGGTGATGATTTCTCAGAACTGTGGTACTACCCATTTTTACACCAAATATGGATGTTTCCAGAAGTGTTATGGTGGGTGTGTGATTTAGTAGTTAATGAGCCTATAATGAGGTCCTAAGTGACACTTAGGTGAAATCCAGTGCCATGTTGGGTCCAGTGGGTCTTAGCCAGCTTGGCCCACATCCTGGTTTTCTGGGTCTTATCAGCCCCTACCCTCTGCAACTGTTTCAATAGTTTCTTTTTGTTAGGCATGTGAAACTGCTGCCTGGTGTTATAATAACTTCATGAGAACTTAATGTATTACCACCATTCAACATTCAACACTTGCTCCTCCACCAAACCCCACTTCAGTAGCTCTGACCCCTTGAATCCCTGAGATTATATCTCACAGAGAGAAACCCATGTGACGCATAAAATCTTAGGATATTTCATTGGATACATGTTGTGCTTCCTCTGGTCCTACTAAAAAATATAATCTTTCTCTTAAATTTATATGTAAATTATTTTTCTAAAATTATTGTGTTTTCTCTGAACCCTTCCTTCAATTCAGGCTCTTCCAGAAAGCACCTTCATAACCCACTGTTTTAGTTTGTTAGGACTACCATAGCAAAGTGCCAAATAGTGGGTGGCTTACCACAGACATCTGTTGTTTTACAGTCTTGGAGGCTAGAAGTCTGAGACCAAGGTGTTAGAAATTACTGCGGGTTAGGATTTCACATATCACCTTGGGAAAGACAAGTTCAACCCATAGCATTACCTTCCAAAATAAGCATTCAAAACTATAATATTCTCATGGTCTGTGTCATGTTGATATACTGCACCACCAAAAGAGAAGTCTAGAACACAAAGGAAGAAGAATCGAGGCAGATTAAAATTTTTTTTCTACTCCTCAAGCTGGATATTCAGCAAAGTTTACCCTGATTCTAATCATTCCCTTTGTAATCACCCTCATTCACAAAGTGATTGTTATTGATATTAAGTATCAGGAAAGTGAGAAGAGATGGAAGTGAGCCCTCTCTCCCCTCTAGCCTACCCATTATAGCTGTCTCAATTATGAGCAGCCAACTCTTACTTAACAAAAGTATCTACGAAAAGGAGCTCCACCTACTTCTAGTGCCACAGTCTCTTCCATAAAGCAATGACAACAAGTAGGAAAGGTGAAGTAAAACAGATTTATAGATGTGAATGTTATTGGTTCATTGAACAAACGTGATTGGTAGGATATAACCATATAGCAACTTTAAGTCTCACTTTTGATTTAAATTTGCTCAATGGATTTACTTCTTCTCTTGCCCTTCTCTGAAAATGTAGTTAGCCACCACAGCTTCTCTGCTTATTCTTGGTTAATGAAAAACCCTATGGTCACTTTAAGTTAGTAAACACAGACTTCATTCAGAAATTGGAATGAACATCCTCTTACGGTAACACACATGCTAGATGTGACTAAAGTTAAAACTTCCCTTCCCTTTTCCAGAATGAGTATTTTATGGGAGGAAAAAATTATTATCTTACTGATAAATTTAAGAAGTAGTTTTGCTTTCCCTGGTTCTCCAGAAATTTAAATCTGTATTTTTCTCTTTTAAGGTGTTATTGCGAACTCTTTACAGAAACCCTTCAGAAACCCTCCTCTGCCCTACCACTGACCTCTCTCACCAGCAGATTCCTTGAAACTGGAAGTTCAGCCTGTCTTTTATAGTGTCTTCCTCAACCACTGGAATGAGTGTGTGATTCCTACAGCTTTTATTGATGAGCAACACTTCCCATTCTAAATGCCCCTTGTACAATCCTTTCGGACACCCATGCTGGTTCTCATACACATGGATCCCCTCTGATCTGTAGGACAAATCACATATTCTTTACTTCAATACACCAAGAGGGCAGGCTCTTCTACGATTAGTTAGCAACAGCCATTCCCATTTGTCAACCTTTAGATAACTCATGTGTAAGTCCAACCCCAATTCTCATAGTCCCTAAGCATAAGAGGCACATATCAAGATCCCTAAAACAGTCTCACTGAAGCGTCTCTTCATTAAGCTCAAAATGAGAGTCACTTCACCCCATCCCTCTCACTGGTGTGGGTGGGACTCATCAAAGACCAATCGCTCTCCAAAAAGCCAAGTCACAAATACACCTGGCATTTTCTGATCTTTTGAATGGATAAAGGCATTAAGTCTGGTCTCATAGATTCAAAAAAGTTTATTTTGGAAAATAAACATCTTTATTTAGCACCTCACTTGGGAATATGCTATTGATTTATAAGCTTTTTGGCTGAAATTTCCTTCTTCATATCCTGCTACACTCCTATACTATATACTGTAGAGACTGTACTAAAGGGACTGTATACTATTGAGACTACATCACTGGGAGAAGGAGATGCAAGAATAGTAGCCAAGCAATTCTTGAACTTGTAGGCTCAGCATTTTCTTTATCATCCACAACTTTCCCATGTTATTTCACGCTTTGTTGCTGACTCAAACGCCTTTCAAAGTCTACCCCATCCCTCCCATAAAATACAGGTCTCAAGATCCCCCATGAGATGCAGGTCACAAGAGCCCATGACTGTCTGCAACTGGTTACTACCAACATTTATTTGAACATTAATATGTCTTTTAGTATCAACAGCACAATGAGGGAGTCATTTCATAAAGGGCAATGAGGGGGTCTCTTCTTTTTTAGTTGAGACTTTTTTCACTCTGTCTTTGGCTGACTCTATTTTCATGATCACAAGAGGCTGGATTCTTTACACCTCTGCCTCATATATTTTCTGTCTTAATATGTCTTTTGATCAAGTCAAACAGTACCATCAGTTGGCAGTTGGCGTAATCTTCTCCACTTGCTACAGTAAAGGAGTGATTTTTCTATAGAGAATTTTAGAACCAACTAAAAGTTAATCAATTTGCATTGTATTATTACCATATGTCAACAATTCTAGACAATGCCGTCTGGATTGAATTGTGTCCCTGAAGAAGATACGTTGAGATTCTAATTCCCGGTACCTCGGAATGTGACATTTGGAAATAGGATTATTGCAGATGTAGTTAGTTAAGATGAAGTCATACAGAAGAAGGTTGGGCCCCTCATCCAATATATGTGTTGTTCTTAAAATAAAACAGCTATGTGAAGACACAGAGGCACAGGGAGAATACCATGTGAAGATGGAGGCAGAGATTGGAGCAATACATCTACAAGTCAACAGACGCTAAGTACTGCTGGCTGTTGCTAGAAGCTAGGAGAGAGGCATGAAACAGATTCTTCTTCAGAGCCCTCAGAAAGAATCAGCCCTACCAATAACACCTTAATTTCAGGTTTCTAGCCTCCAGAACTGTAAGACAATAAATATCTGTTGTTTTAAGCCACGCAGTTTGCCATACTTTGTTACAGCAGTCCTAGAAAACGAATACAAATGACAATGATAAAATACTCCTCCTTGTCACTTAAAATTGCAAATTTAGTTGCTACTGTAACAAAAAAGTTAGTAAATATTTATAAATTGTGCAGCTAAATATATTTTATTTCTGAACCTAATAAAGTTCCCTAATGCTTTCCCTTCTGATTGAAACTTCACATTGGGTTTGGATAGGAAGGCTAAAGATGGAAGAGAAATTTGACAAGCAGGAAACAGCAAGTGGACCATTGGAAAGTCATGCCTGTCATGTGCTAGTGATGTTTTAAAGAAGTAAATGAGCTGACGATACACAGCCTGGCATTTATATTATGATGTCCTGTCCCCACCAACCATAAGCATGGTAAGAATATCTTTAGCTTGTCTTCTCCAGTTTTTGCTCTGCCTTGTCATGCACTTCCGCATGTTAATTTCCATCCCCAGTTCCCCACTTCATAAACTCCTGGATAAAATCAGGTTCTGCTTTAACTTACTACCTTCATGTCTAAGAATCTATGAACAGTCAGTCTGGACCACCACAGAGTGATGCCAGCGGGACTCAAAATGTCACATGAAGTTTTCTGATGCCAGAGAGAATAATTTCCCACATGAGTTACTGCAGTTTATAAATGACCAGTTTGCAAAATAAAACAAACAGAACAATTTTAACAATGAAAAAGAACAAAATGTAAATTAAATTTTTTATTTTTCTGGGTTTTCTCTTTTATTCCAGTGGCCACTTTTGACCAGCGAACACCATTTGCCCCATAGTTTTCCCCATGTTCAAAATACCTAGAATGGATATTATGCATTCCCAACCTGTCAGCTTTGGCTGAATTACAGAGTGCTCAATTATGCTCTAATCAAATAGCTGCCCAATGCAGGCCACGTAATGACTTCCTGATTATCTGCCTTTAAATGATGAATGAAATGAATATGTAACATTCTGTTCAAATATAGCATACTTAGCATGCCAAATGAAAACTGATTTTGTGCTCCTCTCTGTGAAAAACGTATATTTTACTGTAATTCAGTTCAATGGTTGTTCGGTTGCTTGTTTTCTAGTCATCAAGATAAACATTGAATGAGCTATCTAGGAGAACATTAGTCTTCATATTTGCTTTCCAACAGATGCTAAAGGTGTTAAATATTGTTTAGATTATTAGCGTTCCTCCCTTTACATTGTCTCATTGGAAAAAAATAACAAGGTCATATTTTTATGAGCAATTCTTATTGGCAATATTCCACTACATTGGTGAAAAAAACCCTAAAATCCAAAAAAAAAGAAAAAAAAAGTACACAAATTGCCATGATAATGTATTGCAAAGACAACATTAAAATATAAATAATGTATTGTCAAGAGTGCTTTTTATATAGCAGCAATTTATGATATTAACACTAAAAAAGGGTACATACTTCAAAACTTGATTGTATGTCTTGTCTATAATAAGAATAGTATGCATGACTATAATAGTTCATTCTATGAGCTTTTCTTCCAAATTTTACTCTCAATATACTAATTTTCAAAAACCAACTCAAGAACTTGTATGGGGGAATTCATTGCATGTAATATTTACTTTTAAGAAACAAATGTTCCCTCTTGAAAGAGGGACAGGACAGTCAAACAAGTAAGAAGAGGGAAGGAAAAAAGAACTGTGGAAGGAAAGGAAAAAGGAAGGGAAGCAGAGAGGAAGGGAGGAATTAAAGGAAGGAAGGAAGAAAAGGAAGGGAGGAATTTTTTTATCCTTTCTAGCTAATATATTTTTAATATTGCAAAATTAAATTAATTGGTGCAGAAGCAGTGGTCTTAGAAAAGGTTTTCAGGCCGGGTGCAGTGGCTCAAGCCTGTAATTCCAGCACTTTGGGAGGCCGAGGTGGGCGGATCAGCTGAGCACAGGAGTTCAAGACCAGCCTGGCCAACATGGTGAAACCCCGTCTCTAGTCTCTACTAAAAATACAGAGAAAATTACCCAGGCGTGGTGGCACATGCTTGTAATCCCAGCTACTAGGGAGGCTGAGGCAGGAGAATCGCTTGAACCCAGGAGGTGGAGGCTGCAGTGAGTCAAGGTTATGCCACTGCACTCCGGCCTGGGTGACAGAATGAGACCCTGTCTCAAAAAAAAAAAAAAAAAGTTTTCAATAATACGTATCCTGGATCAGCTTTCAATGAAAGGATGTCTGAGATGAACAAGAGCGCCTCATCTAACATCTTTTGAAATTTTTCCTTAATTGTCCCTTTATGGGAAAAATTCTTAATTAAAACAGAAAAATATTAAGAATTTTTACATATATTTATTTCAAGATATTAATTGATTTAGCACTCTCCTCAGAATATATTTATTTCCCCTTTCTCTTTATCCTCCCTTTTCCTTATTCCTCCCTTCTCTCTCCTCCTTCCCTTTTTCTCTATCCTTCTTCCCCCCATCTCCTTTTCTTCTTCTTTCTTTCTTTTTTTTTTTTTTTTTTTTTTTTTTGAGACAGAGTGTTGCTCTGTCACCCAGGCTGGAGTGTAGTGGTGCAATCTCAGCCCACTGCACCCTTCGCCTCCCAGGTTCGAGCGATTCTCCTGCCTCAGCCTCTCAAGTAATTGGGATTACAGGCGCCCACCACCATGCTTGGCTAATTTTTGTATTTTTAGTAGAGACTAGAATGTCTCTACTAAACATGGGGTTTCGCCATGTTGGACAGGCTGGTCTCGAACTCCTGACCTCAGGTGATCCACCCGCCTCGGCCTCCCAAATTTCTGGGATTACAGGTGTGAGTTACTGCACTGGGCCTCTTCTTCTTCTTTCTTTTCCTCTTCTTCTTACCCCAACTTCTCCAGGTCCTCCTCTTCTTTCCTTCTCCTCTTACTCCTCCTCCTCTTCTTTTTCATATCTTCTGTTCATTTTTCTTCTTTTTCCTATGTGTTCTCTTGTATTTTTAGCTATAAAAAATGAACTAGCAGCCCCATGGATAAAGCCAGCACACCCATACATACACATACACTCACACGCACTTGGATGCACAGTCACTGAGCTTGAATTAAAATCTTCTGAGTATGAAGCTTTAGTGTATTTTTAAGTCATTTGTAAAAAAAAAAATTGTTAAATGCACCCCTTCTGAGAATTTGCAATTGCAACACCAAAACCTTTTAAATAATTGGTGGGTTGGATTAAAAATTTTATTATTAAAAAACAATCTTATGTTTTTCTTTTATTTGGAGATATATATGTATCTGTGTGTGTTTATAATATATATGCAAAAAATACATATTTGTAAAGTATCTTTATCATAGCTCTAGCAAACACAAAACCCAAAACTGGAATTAAAATAATCTTGTAACTAGGCACTTAAAATGCTGTATTATAGTTGTATAATATTGTATTATGGAAACACAATTTTCAGTAACAACTGTGTCCAGTTGGATTTTTTCATTAGAAAATATACTGCATTTCATTGATTAAAAAGTGTATGTATTTTATCATTTCTAAAATTTTTAGAAGTGTACCTTATGTTTGATGGGTGGCATGTGATAGTCAAATTGCCAGTATTTATTCTTCCTTAGTAATATGCACATCTTTCATTTAATAGAATATAGCACTAATCATGCCAATAATATATTTAATGAGAATAAACCAGTTTGTACAATTATATAAATATTCATAACATCTTTTAAATTTATATATTTTTTAAAAGTACACTCTGTACCTCTCATTCTGAAAGGTTTTATAATGTTTAAAATATATTGAACATTAGTAAATGCATATAATGCATAAATAAATATTTATAGGAAGAATATGTATCACAAAAAGTTTTATGGATAGGACCATAGCTCCAGCCACTATACCCCATTGTTTAATACTATTTCCCTTGCACAAATCTAGTTAATCAAGAGAAAGCAAGGAAAGGAAAATACCTGGAGATAGGAATCTATGTCCCTTATGTGGGCTGGGCCTAATTTTGTGGAAGACATCTTTTAAGATAACAGCAATGGTCCCTTCTTAAGATGGTTGTAGCCACATGGGTTTTTATTTTATTATTATTCAAATTATATGTATATATTTTGTATACTTTTTATGTGCAATATATTAAAATACTTACCAATAGGTACATATTTAACAATATATTCTCAAAAACTCTTTCTTAAATATGGCATAACATTTAAGGCACAATTATTTTGATATTATTTCTCTGTTTTGCTTATTGTTAATAGTGCCAAGCACAGTTCTATGGTGCTAGAGATAAAAGAGTGGAAAACCCCGAACTCTCTTGTCTAAGAGCTTACATTCTATTGCAAGAGGCAAACAATGAAGAAGTAAACAAGTTATTTCTATAATTGATAAAGGCTATGAAGAAAATAGAATCAGGGTAATGTGATAGAGTTGGCTGGGGTTTGGGTTTCCATATAAGTTAGGGTGATTGTAGAAGGCCTAAGGCTACAGTGATTTCTAAAGTGACACTGATTGGTTCTCCAAAATATATCCCAAATCTGTCCTCTCCTGTTCCTCTCCCAAGTAAGATAATGTTGTGTTTGAGAGCGCAAAGGCAGCCTGTTGACTGACATCCCTGCTACCAAAATACCTACACCAACAGTCCCTCTTTCTCCACCCAGATCCTTTGAGTCAGGAGACTTCAGGTTTCATGGGACTTCCTCCCTTATTTTCCTCATATCCATCTGCCTTCTCAGCTGTGGTTGGTGAAGTTTAGGTGTAACATGTGCTACTAACCCAAGTGCATTCTGATTACATAGAACAACAGAAAATTACATCTTCTACTCAAGGAGCTGGGAGCTTCAATTCTGAGATCCACTGCCTTCAAAGGCAAATCTCCATGACCCTTTAAAAGGCTGCTGGGTTATTGAATTTAGACTTTGGCTTTTGAATGTTTTGATACAATAATTACCTATGTTCTAAGAATGGGAATGGGGTAATCTTATATTTGCTCTGACATTTTGGCTTTAGATATGTTCGTTGTTTTCTGAAGTGATTGCTAATGAAAAATATAGATACCTAATCTTTAATCAACAAGCTTCCCTTGACATCCTGCTTCCTGATGTGAGGCACTGCAGTAAATGGTGATGGGTTTCCTCCAACCTATTACTGGAAGGAGACGGCAAGTTGAAATTGCTCAGCAATAATAATTCCTATTTCAAACCATGTCCTTTTTATTCTTTCATAAATTTCTCAGTGTTCCAGGCCTTTATGTATAGAAAACAGACTTTGTGTCTATAAGGTTGTCTTTTGAGTAGACAAATCATCATATTTTGTTTAACAAAGCTAAATGGAAGGCAAAAAAAAAAAAAATGAAGGAAAAGCATTTGTAAGCAGTATCTAGCTGTGCACTTACAGCTGAAATCTGAAGCTCCTCTAATACAAAAGTATTACCTGCAGGCTAAGATATCTATGTTGTACAACTGCGAACAGCAGTTGGGGTCTTTGTTTCTATTTGTCGACTCACAAACTCCTGTTGGTTCCAACAAAGACAGTTGTCTAGCTCAGGTATCTTAACTCCTAGGTCTGTTTCCCAGCTCTGTCCCTGAAACCCAGACTGGCCATGGGCAGGAGTGGGCAGTTTGGCTTTATGAGTGTGACAGCTCCTCCTGCCACGCTAAGCTTCTTAGCATTTCATTTGTATTATTATGAAAATCCATGGCCTCCAATTTCCTCTCCCCTGGCCCTTTGTACCTAACGCCCTGATGATGTACCCTTTTTTTGGCAATGGAGTCTTGCTCTGTCGCTCATGCTGGAGTGCAGTGGTGCGATCTGGGCTCACTGCAACCTCCACCTCCCAGGTTCAAGCAATTCTCCTGCCTCAGCCTCCTGAGTAGCTGGGACTACAAGTGCATGCCACTACCCCAGGCTAATTTTTCGTATTTTAGTAGAGACGGGGTTTCACCGTGTTGGTCAGGCTGGTCCCGAACTCCTGAGCTCAGGCAATCCGCCCACCTCGGCCTTCCAAAGTGCTGGGATTACAGGCGTGAGCCACTGTGCCCAGCAATGTGCCCTTTTCCTAAGTATTAACGGATTCACTCGGACTTTCAAAGCCCAAAATCTAGTCATGCCTTTTGAGGGAGATTGGTGACGATGCTTATGGACTTCTCTTTTACTGCTTCTTTCCACATTGATGGAATAGTGAAAAAGATAACAAATAAATTAATCCAAAGAAAATATTTTAAATTTTTTTATTTATATTAAAATAACATTCAGTAAATAAATTTATAATTTACCATAATAATGGCCACTCTTCCTTGAGCTTCCTCAACTTTCTGCCTTGCAAGTTGCTTTATACATTCAATTTAATGCACTGTTATGATTATGCTATGTATGAATGTATGTGTGTGTGTGTGTGTAAGTATTATTCTGATGACATAGTACATTATGATTTAAAGCATTATATTATGTTGATGAAAATATACAGACAGTAATGTATACATAAAATAATTTAATGCATCTTGTTATCATCCGCATTTTCTTCTTGGTAAAATAGGAAAAACTGCTATCTCCCAGAGCTGTAATCATAATACTTGTTCAAAGTGCCTGGCATATAGGTACAGTTCTACCTCAATAGAGCTATTATTGCTATGATTTTGCTCTTGTGGTTCTATCATTCTTAATTCATAGTTGAGGAAACTAAGTTTCATGGAAATTAACTTGCTTCAAAAGTTCACATGTAGGACAGGGCTCAGATTTGATTTCAGAACTGAAATCCTAGTTTACATGTCCTTTTTCTTTCCACTTTATATCTCGGCATTTTGATTGTTTTGTTTCACTAAGGCATGTGCCTTGCTGATTGCATTCCTTGCCTTAAAAATGCTGTGTTTTTATTTATTTTTCTTTCACTTGTTTCTTTCCTTGTTTCCTTGTTTCACTTGTTTCTTTCCTAGCACAATATTTCATATTTCCCAATGACTGCACCACTCACCAGGTCACCTCCTGGGTGTGTGAAGTGGGGATAAGGTTAGGAAATAACCTAGGAAGCTTCTCCTTTACCTCACCTTACCTGATTTCTTACCTCCTATCCCTATCTGAGGATTTTGCATTTATTTTCTCTTACATTTACCAAAATGCATGTTCATATTTAAGTTGCAACTGTAGAAAACATACAGTCTTATAGTTCTATCAAACATGGGGAAAAAAAATTTAAATTTTTGTTGTTTTCATGGTTATCAATAAAACTGCAATGAGATATGATTACCACAAATGCCAGAGGACTCAGGGCTAGGACTAGAATGAAGTAAATGAGGTGCCTCTGGGGCAAAAGGTAAGGAGGCCCTTTCTCTCAGCTTCATGAACATGGAGGGTCCACACCTCTGAGTGAGTGTCTCCTTAAATTTGGAACCAATGGAGCTTCACTTGCCTCTGGCCCAGGCACTGAAAGAATTCTCCAGGTTTTTTTTTTTTTTTTTTTTTTTTACTAGAATCAAAGGTTTGTTCCATTACTCCTGGATTCAGAAGAAGGACACTTCATTATTTTGGCTTTTCATAATTATGGGATTAACTGGTGGCCTTCCTGGAATTTGCTATGGTATGAGAACAGGTTTAAAATCAGGCAACACTCTAGTAAAGGCCAGGTGTTCAAAGTATCATGAACAGCTCTCTAAAGATTGGAAAATGAATATTTAACTAGATGACTACATTTGATTTCCTTCATTCATTTTTTATTATTTCAGTGAAAACCTTCATGATGGAAATCACATGGACAGGATTTTAATATCTTCTGGTAAATGAAACCTGCTATTCTAATGGGTTTAGTATTTCTTTACAGCGCCATTTGGTAAACTCTGATGACCAGTAATTTTCTCCATAGTTACAACTTAGGGAATTCTGTGCAGATTGTACATCATGGATACCAAATTTGTCTTACAGGGTTGATAATTACGATGAAACTAGTTATATTAATTAGGTCCTGTTTACAAAGAGTCTGATGATTTTTTTTAAGAAGGAGAAAAAATAGGCTCATCTGCAGAAGCTTTAAGTGCTTAATTATTGTTATTTTCTTTTCAGAAGCAAAGGGAACTATCATGCCCATCAAAACAAAGTTCTGCAGAGGGTTTTAGCTTCCTGTTTGAAAAGCTAGGCCCAAGAAGCAAAGCTCTTTACAGCTAATAGTCATTAAAAATTAGCAGTTAGTACAGTTATCTTGGAAATAGAGGCCAAAATATCTGCTTTTCCATTTCCACTGTGTTTCTCTTGTGATTGTAGTTCCGGAAACTCTGATGCAGGTAGAGTGAGAAATATTTTAGAGCTCCAACATCAGATTTTGCTAAATAGGTATTTTCCAATTATCACAATTGACAGTTTTCATCTGATTGCTTGTCAGAACTCAGACGAAAGTCCCAAAGCAATTCAGGAACGTGATAAAATCATCAGGTGTCTCTACACTTGTGTATAGTCCTAAATATTTGTCTTGTCACCTTGTTTCTCAAGTTGATGCTTAGAGAAGGCCTAAATGTAATTTTCTTGTGGTTATTGGGTTTAACTTGTGCTACCAGCATTAAAAGAAATTCACAAGTGTGTTATGGTGGCATGTTGTAAATTCTCTTAAGATTCTCATGTAAGATTGAACCCAACAGAAAGACTTACTCATGAGATAGTTGACTCAGAGTAAGGTGTCCTGTTTTGCAGCTTTCACAATGTTTGCCCTTTGCATTTCTTTTCAGTGAATTGAATTAAGTCCAAACCTAAGACAAATAATGACTTCTGATTATCTCTCTAAATGATGAAATGAAATGAAATGAAATGAATACAGCCACTCAACAGAGAGACAGACAAATAGCTTGTGTGACCTTTGGGAAGAAGGCAAAACTATTAAAAGCAGAAGTTGTTTTTTTAAAAAACTGTTTTCTCTTCACTTCCCTATCATGTTTCTTAATGGTTATAGTGACAGGCGTTGCATTTCAGAATTTGCTCGAATTCTCATGGAAGCAGCAACTGAAACAGAAGAAAAACTGGCTCTATCGGGTTAATCTAGGATTTCCAAACTGGGTTTAGATCAAAAAAGAAATCCAAGGTTTTCCAGTGAATGGGGATCTTGGTTTTATTCATATAAAGCCCTTCTATCACCCACTCCAGCATGTTGCTTCTGAAATGCAGAAACCTGTCACTTCTGAGATAAACCCACTAATCCACCTATGTCCTTGGCATTCTCTGTGTTCGGTGGGTAGATCTTTGTGGTGTGGATATTTCCTATCACTTATTCTCAGTGCTACCTTTGTGTCATAAGCTGATAGCTTTAGCTGGTGCTTTTCCTCTCTTCTAGATTCAACAAAGACATCCAGACGGCTCTGCATGGTGTTTAGAGAGCAGCCCCCTGTTGAAGCTCTTCTGTAGGTAATCCCCAGGAATGACAGCACGTGTGTCATAAAACTAAAGAGTCAGTACTGTGTTCACCCAATCAAAGTATTTGAATTCTTGTTTCTAAGTGAATATGCAAATCGGCAGTAGCTTCATTTGTTATTTTACTTGTTCTTAGTCAGAATCGTAACCTTTCTTGCTACTCACATACATGGGGAAAAAATGCATGTATTTATCAAAATACAAACAGCTGCTTCTCTCTCCTCCCAGGCTAAGTTAGTTACCCGGGTCCCTCATTAGACTCTCAACTTACCACTTACCATAATTCTCCTTACTCATCAGTTTCATCTCTAGTCCAGGAGCTTGCTGATAAGAAAGTGTCTTGTTCTCGTATTCATTTTTTTAACCCCCCATTGTCTGATATACAGCTGCTTAAGGAAAGTTACTTAAATGACTGAATAAACAAATGATAACAGAAAACATTTTAAAAAATTATGTCAATATCCATGAACAGACATAGATATAAAATCTACCATCTATGACTCTGTCAAGTTTCAATATTGTGTGTTCACAATTTTTACTAGTGTGATCTTTTTCTTTGATTTTCAATCTAAGCCATCATCATGACTTGGCTACGCTGTCAGATGAGCCCATGTCGAGGTCCCCTTTTGCTTCGTTGCATCTATTGCCCTGGATCAGGAAGGGCCATCGTGGAAGGAGCCCTGATGTGTTCTAATGAGGCTCTGTTTCAGAGCTGGTAGCTTTCACCCTGAGAGTTCTTCCTGTCACCCAGCGTGTTTCAGCCTAAGTGTTAGCCAGTTGGTGAATGAGATTTTGGAAAACTTCCAAGCCATAGTTAATTATGTGCTTTCCTGAAACTTGACTGTCCTTGCCATCTTCATGGATGCCTTCTCTCTATTTAGTAAGCAGTTTATTTTGCTTTTTTTTGGACATCTAACCTTATTTACAGTTTTCTTTTATAAAATAGAAACGTGCCATGGTACCGAGGCAAATTACACATTGCATTAGATTTGTTCAAGCTCCAAAAAGGCAGCAAGATAACATATGTACCAGCACTCTGAAACTCTAAAAACTCCTACAACTAATGTATTATTTTTTATTAGTATTTTCTTTTTAATAAATGTTTGAGAATGTCTAGCTTTTAAACCTGTAACATTAGACATTTCTGTGTTTTTTGGTGAGGATTTAATGAGATTTTCTATTTTGTTAACACAGAATAGGTTGCTTGTATGTATGTATGCTTTCTACACATTTATAGCTGTGTGTGTGTGTGTGTGTGTGTGTGTGTGTGTGTGTGTGTTTTCTTGGTGTTTCAGTTCTTTCCTTTCATTCTGGTTTTGCTTGTTCGTGCCTACAGAGGATAAACTTTATGATAAAGCTGATACTTCAACTTAAAAAATGACAAGTCTGTGGGATTTTAGGGGGGCAAGGTGGATGGGCAGGAAAAAGAACAAGCCGAGGAAAAATTAAATAGCTCCCAAAGAGCATTTTACTTTCTGAAATATAATCCCAAAGGAAACTGCTATAATGTAAAAGAGTTAGGATAAGAACTCTTGATGTTAGATACATATAAGCTATGGTCAGAGGAGGTAAGAAATTGATGAGTTGCAGATAATATCAGCTGCTGTGTTGGAAAAAATTTCAGGAGTGAATTCTGAAATGGAGTCCTCTGTTGGACATATACTTTAGCGGCCTCAATATTATTGATCTATTGAAGACAAAGAGGAAAACGTTCTGATCGGTATGCTAAGAAGAGTGTGTTTCCTGGGGAAGGCAGTCTCATGCTCCTGACTTTTCATTGCAATTGTGAAGCCCACCTAGGAAGACAGGTTTGAATTATTAAATAAACTGAGTTTTCTAGCCTTGAAGCAAAATTTTCAATATTCTGCAAATTTTACAACATCTTGTTTGTTAATACACATTTTCCCCTCCTGTTTAGAGACAGAAAGAAAAATAATTCATGTAGGAGTGAGAAAAGTCATCCATGATACTAACATTCAGTTGAATATATTAAGGTATAATGTGGGTTTTAGACAAGTCTTAAGAATTGGTTGCAGAATTTGAATGGTTGGCCTGCTATTTTATATTATGTCAATCCCAAAATAATCCACAGAGAAAATTAATGTTGTTGTTAATATTTTAAATCTTTTTGGCTAGATATGCTGGTATAATGATAATTAAGTTTTCAACTCATACATGGAGACTTTTCACTTAAAACATCCTGTTTTCTTGTTATGACATGAATTTAATCTATTTTAAATCCAGGAATAAAGTACAAAATATAGCATAGAGGAATAAGTGTTTTACTTTCTTGGAAGATACTCCAGCTATTAATAGTAGCTAAAGGTGAGGGTTGTGGAATAACACAGGCCTGAGATAAATCCTGACTTTTCTAACCAAATAATCTTGGCAAGCTATTTAACATCTTCAAATTATGGTCTCCCAACCTTTAAAATTGGAATAAAAATTGAATCCATCTGATGAGTTCGTTATAAAAATTGAACCAGAAAACATGTGGCAGTGTCTGAAATACTCTAAATATGTTGGATATTTACATTGTTCCAGGAGCTCTATGTAGGACAGAGTAAAAAAGATAAAAATTTGTTTGACTCAAATACTATGAAGCCTTGCTCAGTCAGTAAGATAGGTCTAAAATATAAACTTCCTTCTTTTTATGATGATAAGTCTGTAAACATATTTTGATCCCACTTTTCTTTGGGTTGGAAGTCAGGCCTGGCATCACATAAGTTCCAGGAGAGATAGAGGTGTGACGAGGTCTCCTTTCTGCTTTCACTGGAGTGCTCATTAGTGCCTGCTAATGAGAAAAGCTTAGGTCAGAAGCCAAAGAGAATATACCCTCAGTGTGGGAAATGGGAGAGGTCGAAAGGCCAAGGTGGGAAACCAGGGACCCAGGTCAAATCATGATGGTGGAAAACCCAGTGTCAAGAATTAGGTGGCCACAAGCAGAAGGTGCACCTTCACAGAGAAGAGAAATGAGCACAAATTGTCACAGCTGGAATGAATTAAAACACTGTTCCTTGACACCAATCAGAATATCATTAGAAGGGTTTCCTCTGGAGTTCAGGCAAAAAATTAATCTGAGGCATAAAAATGTTTTGATGCTAGATAATAGAAAAATATTGTTTTCAAAGCAGTATGCCTATATTACATGAAAATATTTGCCAAATGGAATGCAAACTAGAGGTAGGATCATGTTACAAATTGTAGTTGAAATTAAAAGATCCTGGTTTAAGATAGATAGGTATTCTTTGGTGTACTCATGAATGCTTATACGCCTTGCACAAACAAATCCCTCAGTTCATGTCTGGGTTTAATTCACTCACTCATTCTTCACTCGTTTATTCATTCATTATTTTATTCTGTTAGATAACATGGTCATGCTATGATCTTTTCCTGTGAACTGTTTTTATTTTCACCTTCGTAGGTTGACATATTTGTTCTGCTTTGTTTCTGTTTTTCCTTGTAGCCAAGACAGAGAAATAAGTTCCCTATTCACAAACCATTTGATCACTGATGTTGGGTATATCTTTGTGCTATCACGCTTGCCCTCTGAAATCCAGTTCTTCTCCACCCAACAGTCAGAAAGATAACTGTAAAACATGCACCCTGAGGTGCTTCCCGCTCTGCAGCCTAACACCTGCCATTCACTTTCCCATGGTCTCAGAAGAAAATCTAGACTATCTTCCTTGCCCTAGACATACATGCATGATTCTACTCATGCCTGGTCCTTGATCCCCATAGCCTACCCCTCTCCTGCTTGCTAACCACTCTCCGCACAGCATGAATGAGTCTCTGTCTCTGTCTCTTCCTGGAATATTCCAGCTCTTCCTCAACCTGACATGTCTGTGTCTGTCTGCTCTTCACCTGTGCTTCCCAAAGTGGACTTGTTTTCATCCTTCATTCGTATCTCAGCTCAGACATCTCATAATTAGGGAAGACTTTTTTGAGTAGTGTATGTTACTCTGTCATCACCCCATTTATTGCCTTTATAATAGCATCTATCACAACATATTATTTTTGTTTATTGATTTAATTACTTTATTATGGTCTCTTTTGATACCATTAGCTAGTAAACTCCATGAGATTAAAGATTTTTTCTGTTTGCATTGTGACTCTATCCCTACGAATCAGAAAAGAAAATGGTTGGGAGTTGGTAGGTGATCAATAATATTTTTTAACAAATGAGTGAATAAACCAGCAGTCTCGTTGCCTCATTACTGTCCTTGCTCATGATCTTCCTTCATGCTTTGTGTTATTCCGTGTTTATTGAGGACCTGTCACATGAAAGGAAGTTGGATGCTGGGGACATACAGATTAATACTCACTTGGATTCCTACCCTTTATGATGGGGTTAACACATGGGTAGCTGCTTGCCTTGGTCAATCTCTGGAATGCTAAGTAAACAAAGATTCTGGGGCTGTGTCTCAACTCATGAAAGGATGCCAGCAGCATAAAGAGGGAAGAGAAAATACTCACGTCAGATGTACCACACCTGCTTAACAATGAAACAAACACATTTGCAACATTTTTCTTGTAGAAAAAAGTGGCTTTTGGTTAGTTCCTCTTATGTGCCATGCCACCTTTAGCCATAGAACTTTCTTGCACACGTGAAACTGACTCTGTTCCCTCATCCCCTCATGCCATTTTCCCCTCGCAGTCCTCCAGAGGGTCCCTTCACCTAGTGGTCATCATTCTTGTCCCAAAGAGCTCTTCTTCAGGGATTCGTCCTCTGACCACCTCCCCACCCTCCTAAGACTAGCTAATTCTGTCCTACACTTTTCACGGCCCTCTGGACTTCCTCTTTAAAGGACTTAGTGATTGCGCATGTATCTGTGTTGTAAATCGATGAATGCCTGTCTCTCTAGGTGGACTGTAAACTCCATGAGGGCAAGTCTGTTTTTATTTTGCTCACTATGTTTAATACCAATGACATGGGATCACACCATGTGTTTCCCTTGAAGACTCCTTATTGACAGAATATTATACTCATCCTGAAGCACCAAATCTAATACATTTTTTAACATTGCCCTTAATGATTTTGACACATTCTTTCTGCTGTGGTTTTGTGCTTATAGCTAGATATTTTAATTTCATCAAGTAAACAATTTTTTAAATCTGTAATAATAAATGGTTATGAAACAGTGAGAAAAACACAGTGATAAATATATATTTGTACCACACAGCAACAGGTGTAATTGGTTTCGGCCCAGAAAGTTCCTACCTGTTGCTAAAAAGTGTTGGAAGTATCATTCAACTACTTTTGCTTATATTATTCACTATTAGTTCAATTTCTTTCACATCTTATATCATGGATATTAGCAATTAAAATTTTCCTTTCCAGAGAGAAAACACTGTATAAACAGATTTTTCCCCCTCATGCCAACTTATGTCTTCTCTCCCTCAAAATGTTTTAAGCATAAAAATTGCTTTTGTATCAATTGAGTGATTTGGTTTACTTATCAGCTGATTTTTCCCAGCTTTTTTTTTCCTAAAGTAGAATCCGAAAGCCCCTTCCCATTTTTTTTAATGTGAATACGTGAATATGAACAAGCTACTTACACTTTCAGAGCGAGCTACTTACATTTATAACCTTGAGGTTGCCTTTGATCCTAAATCAGCTTTTAATTACCATTGTAGTTATATTGGGTGAAAAAAATGATTCTGTTATTTCCAGAACACAGCAAGGATATGACCAATACTATCTCATGAGTACAGTTATTTTAAGGCTTTTATTACTAATTATAGTTGGTTTATTATAATTCATTGTTCACTGGCCTTTCTAGCTATTTACTTAAGGTTCTACTCAGCATTACAGCTGCAGAAGCAGCTGCTATTCCTCTGAGATTGTACAATTTCATGAAAGTAACAGGGCTCCTATTTGGAAGAGGGTGTTATTGGACTCAAGGGAGATGCTTCACTTGGTGTCCCCTGGAATGGGCTACAAGAGGGTGCATTATTCCCGACTCCAAGGAGAGGTTAAGCATGTAAAGAGGATGGTAGATGAACCCTTTAACCGTTATAAACAGATATGGAAGCAATGAAATAGTTCATTTATCTATCTATTATTCATTTGGCTAGCTATCCATATCCAGTTTTCCCTGTGTATTAGATTCTTACGTATAAATAAATTTTCCTGATTGATCAATTTCTAGTCAGCCCTCATTTCTTCTTTTGCAGGTGAGAAATAGAAGGTCTTTTAGGTTCCTATGCAATTTATTTATTCTGCAGACATTATTGAGCCACCTACTAATTGCCTGGAACAAATTTTGCACTCATGTAAACATTTTTTAGCAAGCAGACACAAAAATGGAGCATTCAATCTTTTTCTATAAACTCGGGTAATTTGTACTCTCTGGCTATTAGGTACTTTGACAACTGGCCACAGGAAAGTTTTCAACAATGTTCTGATAGCATGATCGACTAATTTTCTAATCGAATCAGATAACAGAATCCTTCAGACTGTGGGGTGAGGTGGGCAAGAGAGAGTGTAGAATGCCATAGACTAAATGTATTTCTCTAAATGTATTAGGTTGCAAGAGTGGACAGATTCACTATGGTACACCCTGTTTATACAAGGGCAGGCTTTTCAGCCCCCCCATATTTTAAACTCCACACTTCACTCTTCACATACACCTAATTCTAGTTAGTAAGTCCTCTAGTAAAGATTTAGACAGGGATATTTAAAATGCATGTCTTAGCTATCTGTAGATACCTGATTGAAATCTTCAAATGCTAGCTATCTTTCAAGGGACTATGCATTTCTGATTAGACTAGATTAAACGTGGACTAACTTTTCCAAGAGAATGAACTCAATGCACAGGTCATTATATCCCACGGTCTCTACTGATGTATTTTAAAGTAAATTATAGGTAGTAAATTAATGTAAAGGGAAGCTGGCATCTCACTCCCTGCCTGGACACTTGCTGAATTACAGAATCAGCAGTCTTGCCACAGGGTTTCAAAGGGAGCAGAGCCAAGTAAGAGGCGGAGATCCTGGGAGAGCATCCCACACATGGAAACCACATACCAGCTGAGGCTACAGCAGCAGACTACACCAAGCCAGAACATGACAGAAAGTATATCTTCACCAGAATCAGTGGAATTGTTTTGTTAAATAAGCCCTAATATGTCTCTAATCTCTTCCTCTAGACTTTAACTCTAGAAAGCTAGAACTAGAAGAAGGTAGGAGGAGAGCCAAAATAAAAACAATCAACAACAGATACAACCTGCCTTCTTCATCCCACCTACCTCCAATTTAGGACCCTAAGTTGGAGGTTTACTTAGTGTCAGACTCAGGATCAATGCTCAGTTGGATGGTTCAAAGGAGTAAAATGGTCTGAAATACATTTGCTTGCTTGTAAGGTTTTTATTTGTCTGTTTTATTGTGATGAAACATACATAAAATTTACCATTTAACCATTTTTATGTGTACAGTTAAATGGCATAAGTGCAGTCACTCATCATTGTGCAACCGTCACCACAACCTATCTCCAGAACTTTTTTATCTTCCCAAACTGAAACTTAATACCCAATAAACACTAACTTCCCATTACCCCAGTGTCTGTCAACCACGCTTGTGCTCTCTGTCTCTATGAATGTGACTACTCTAGGTACTTTATATAGTTGGGATCATATAGTATTTGTTCTTTCATGGCTGATTTATTTTACTTAGCATAATGTCTTCAAGGTTCACCTATGTTGTAATATGTGTCAGGATTTCCTTCCTTTTTAAGGTGAAATAATGTTCCATTGCATGTATATTTCACATTTGTTTATCCACTTGATGAATACTTGGATTGTTTTTATGTTTTGGTTATCATGAATAATACTGCTAGAAACCTGAGTGTACCAAAATCCGTTTGAGTCCCCGGTTTCAATTCTTTTGGTAGCATACCTAAAAGTGGAATTGCTGGATTATATAGTAATTCCAGGTTTATTTTATTTTATTTTTTTGAAGAGCCACAATTCCGCTTTCATGTAGGGCTGTACCATTTTACATACCCGCCAGAAATACACAAGGATTCCATTTTCTCCACTTCCTCATCAACACCTGTTGTTTTCTATTGTTGTTTTGTTTGTTTTTATAATGACCATTCCAATGGGTGTAAAGTGGTATCTCATTGTGGTTTTGATTTGCATTTTTCTAATGATTAGGGAAATTACGTTGAGCATCTTTTCATGTGTTTATTTACATATTTTTTTGTTTTTTTGAAATACGTCCATTCAAGTCTTTTGTCCATTTTTAAGTTGGATTTTGTTGTTGTTTTTGAGTTGTAAGAGTTCTTCATATATTCTAGATATTAATCACCTATCAGATACATGACTTGCAAATATTTTCTCCCATTCTGTAAATCGTCTTTTTACTCTGTTGATAGTGTCCTTTGATGCACAAAAGTCTTTAGTTTTGATGATGTCCAATTTATTTCTTTTGTCTTTTGTTGTCTGTGCTTTTGATGTCATATTCAGGAAGTCATTGCAAAGTCCACCATCATAAATATCTTTCCCCTTATGTTTTCTTCTAAGAATTCTATAGTTTTAGCTGTTAATGTTTAGGTCTGTGATCTACTTTGAGTTAATGTGTACCTATGGTATAAGGTAAGAGTTTAATTTCATTCTTTTGTATGTGGATATCCAGTTTCCCAGCACTGTTTGTTGAAAAGACTTTCCTTTTCCCATTAAGTGGTCTTGGTACCCTTACTGAAAAATTATTTGTCGGTATATGTGAGAGTTTATTTCTGGGCCCTGTATTTTATTCTATTAGTCTATATGACTGTCTTTATGCCAGCACCACACTATTTTGTTGTTTGTTTTTTAGTATATGACTGAAGAAAACAGCTATGGAATTTGCCCAACATGTATGCTATATAATGGGAAAATGAGAAGAAAATATTGGGTAGTAAGAATAAAGCCAGTGATTTGGAAAAGTAAAAGTTATCTTTAAAAATAAAAATTAATTTTAATATATCGACTAGTTAGAACTCTTTGCATTGGTTAGCTTTTTAACACTGAAACTGCAAAGCGAACATAAACCACGGTGGCAAACATTAAACACTTAGTTGGCACACAACTCTGCTGGTTGACTTGGCACAGTCTATTCTAGCTAGGCTGGGCTGGTTTGGCTGTGGTGGCTCTGTTCCGTATGTCTCTCATTCTTCTCCTGAGACCAGAGGGCCAGGCATTGTAGGGGCCAAGGGAAAACTTCCCCTTCACCCTCTCAAATTTCACTAAAAATTCAACTACAAAAGGCAGATTCACCATGGATAAAACAAGCAAACATTATTTTAATGTTCATAGTGTGGGAGAATCACAGGGGAATGATTGCCCAATAAACCAGTGGGGTACAGAAATTTATATACCCTTCCTTATAGGGAAGGGGAGAGATGGGGAATGTAGACAATGTTTTCGAGGGGCAGCAAATTGTTATTAGGAAAAAAGAATGGACCTGGAAGACAGAAATTAACTTATAATTGATTCTCTTTGGAATTTGTATGAGCTCCAGAAACAGGCATCATCTTGGGGAAGAAGTCTATCCAGGTATAATTGCATTGCTCAGTCTTCTTTCCTTGGTAGATAATGAGATTTCAGGGAGGGGATGGAAAGCATTTGTGTTCCTCTTTGGGGGTGTAATTTCTGAGTAGAAAAGGGAACTTCAGAGAATAGCCTTATCCTGTGCTTTGGGAGAGAGACAAAGGGTTGAAAGACAGGGGTGGAGGGCAAAGTCAAAGACACCTTGAGGCTGCTGCTTTACTTTAGTCATATTTTGGGGTGAAATATTCTGGTTTCCTTCAGCATGATCTTCTTATGAGATGTCAAAACCATAAGAGGCCAAATAGACATGAAGGATCCTTTTAAGGTCTCAGTTTAGAACTGTCACACTGCAATTTCTGCCTCATTCTATTGGTCACAGCAAATCCCATGGATGAACCCACTGTTAGCAGTTAAAAGTATTCTGTCTCGTTAACTGGAAAAGTAACAAGTTACCCTGCAAAGGGAGTGAATGTAAGTCACCTAGACCAAGGTCCTTGTAGTTTCAAAGTCAAAACTTAACTCTCTTTTTACTCTGTATTTCATTTATAACTTTCCTTTATTGGAGAATAGACTATAAAGTCTAATTTAAGGTAAGGAGGGGAAATGGTAGAGTTTAAAACAAAAATTTTTTTCTTTGGCATATATGTTTGGATTCATTTTCATTAAATGTACAAATGCTGCCATTTCACTGCACACATGCCTGGTTTCCTTACTAATTGGGAACTACTTGAGGCCAGATCCCATGCCCTATTATCATAAAAAGTACATCTGACGCTTTGAAAACATAGCCTTGAACTGCACAGGTCCAGTTACATACTTGTTTTTCTTTTTCTTTTCTTTTCTTTTTTTTTTTGAGATGGAGTCTCGCTCTGTTGCCAGGCTGGAGTGCAGTGGTGCAATCTCGGCTCACTGCAACCTCCAACTCCCTGGTTCAAGTGATTCTTCTGCCTCAGCCTCCTAAGTAGCTGGGATTATAGGCATGAACCACCATGCCCAGCTAATTTTTGTATCTTTTTTAGTAGCGATGTGGTTTTGCCATGTTGGCCAGGATGGTCTTGGTCTCCTGACCTGGTGATCTGCCCTCCTCGGCCTCCCAAAGTGCTGGGATTTTAGCAGTGAGCCACCACGCCTGGGCTTGTTTTTCTTTTTCAATAAAAGTTACATCAATGTGCCTGCCTCTCCTGCCTCCTCTTCCACCTTCTCCACCCTTTTCGCCTCTGCTACCCCTGAGACAGCCAGACTAATCCTCATCTTCTCCTCCTCAGCCAACTCAACATAAAGTCTACAAGGAGGAAGACCTTCATGATGACCCACTTCCACTTAATGAATAGTAAATACATATTCTCTTTCTTATGATATTCTTAATAACATTTTCTTTTCTCTAGCCTACTTTTTAAAATAAGAATACAGCACATAATTCATGTAACATCCAAAATATGTGTTAATTGACTGTTTATATTATCAGTAAGGCTTCTGTCAGTGGTAAGCTATTAGTAGTTAAGCTTTCTGGGAGTCAAAAGTTGTACATGGATTTTCAACTGCACAGAGGCCAGCACCCCTTACCCCTGCAGTTCAGGGGTTAACTGTACTACTACTAATAAGCAATATTTATAAGGCATTTACCTTGTGCCAGGCCTTGTGCTAAATGCAGTACAAATTATTTTAAATCTCCAATCAACAGCCTGAAGCAAATAATAGAATCTTCATTTCACACATGAGAAACAAAGGCACAAGGAAACTTAATTACTGGACAAATTCACACAGCTTCCTTATCTGGGAGCCACTTCTGAGTGGTAGATTGGTAAGTGCACAGTGAGGGGAGGGCTGCCATGATGCAGGGGCATGGGACACTATTGTTGTCAACTGTCCCAAAATAAATGTTCCAAAGGTTAAAAAATAAAATACATTTCTCAGAAATAGTAGAGCACAGAAAAGTACATCAAAGCAATTATAAACAAAGCAAAAAAAAATCAATTCTATTTGATCCTCAACTTTATAAAATATTCACAAATTATCCAATGGTATAAAAGTAATGAAAACTACAGACTCCACGTCTGGGAGAGGGACCTACCACTCTGATGGGCATTACTAAGAGACCCACCTCCCAGCTTTTTCTTTTTGTTATATTTTATTCTTTTTTGTTTGTTTGTTTGTTTTTTATTCCACCTAAGCTTTGGGTGCTTGGTAAATTTTGATTGAAGGAATAAATGTGATACATAATTTAAATGATTAAGACATGCTCTTATATTAAGATATACAAAACATCTCTTATGATCTAAAGTCCTCACATTTTTCTTTCACTAAAACAAAGTTTCAATAGCTTCACACTGAGTTATAATAAAATCTTTGGATACAGGTGCATCTTGTTTTGCCTGGGTTCATGACTTACAGACTTTTAAAAAATGGTTCTTGGAGTTGAGACCCAAAACTCCATACAAAGAATCAACAAAACCAAAAATTGGTTCTTTAAAAGTATACACAAAATGGAAAGACCACTAGCTAGACTAACAAAGAATAAAAAGAGAGAAGGTCCAAATAAGCACAATCAGAAATGACAAATATGGTAATTGATCCCTCAGAAATACAAAAGCTCCTCAGAGAATGTTGTGAACACCTCTATGCACACAAACTAGAAAATCTAGAAGAAATGGATAAGTTCCTGGAAATACACAACCTCCCAAGATTGAATCAGGAAGAAGTTGCAACACTGAACAGACCAATATCAAGTTCCAAAATTGAATCATTAATAAAAAGCCTATATCAACCAAAAAAAGCCCTGGATCAGAGAGATTCACAGCTAAATTCTACTAGACACACAAAAAAGAGCTGGTACCGATTCTACTGAAACTATTCCAAAAAATCAAGAAGGAAGAACTCCTTTTAAACTCATTCTATGAAGCCAGCACCAACCTGATAACAACCTGGCAAGGACACAATGAAAAAAGAAAACTATGGGCCAATATCCCCAATGAACATAGATGCAAAATTCCTCCACAAAATATTAGCCAACCAAATCCAGTAGCACATCATAAAGTTAATTCATTACAATCAAATAGGCTTCATTTTTGAGATGCAAGATCATGTCAACATATACAAAACAATAAATGTAATTCATCACATAAACAGAATTAGAAACAAAACCATGTGATCATCTCAATAGACACAGAAAAAGCCTTTGATAAAAATCCAGCATCTCTTCATGATAAAAACCCTCAACAATTAGGCATAGAAGGAACATCCTCAAAGTCATAAGATCCATCTATAACATACCCACAGCCAACATCATACTGAGTGGGCAAAAGCCAGAAGCATTCCCCTTGTAAATTGGAACAAGACGAAGATTCCCACTCTCACTACTCCTACTCAACATAGTACTGGAAGTCCTAGACAGAGCAATCAGTCAAGAAAAAGAAATAAAAAGTATCCAAGCAGGCAAAAAAGAACTTAAACTCTCTCTTTGCTGATGGTATAATTCTATACCTAGAAAACCCTAAAGACTCTGCCAAAAAAGCTTCTGGAACCAATAAACGACTTCAATAACGTTTCAGTATACAAAATCAGTGTGCAGAAATCAGTAGCATTTCTACATACCAGTAAGATTCAAGCTGAGAGCCAAATTAAGAATGCAATCCCACTTACAGTAGCCACATACAAAAAAGTGAAATACCTGGAAATACATCTTATTGGGAAGTGAAATATCTCTACAAGGAGAACTACAAAGCACTGCTGAAAGAACTCATAGATGACACAGAAAAATGAGAAAACATTCCATACTTACAAATTGGAAAAATCAATATCACTAAAGTGACCATACTACCCAAAGTAATCCACAGATTAACAGCCATTCTTATCAGACTACCAATGTCATTTTTCACAGAACTAGAAAAAAGTATTCCAATATTCATATGAAACAAAAAGAGACCAGCCAAACCAATCCTAATAGACCAAAGCCAGAGACATCACATTACCCGAATACACTATAAAGCTACAGTAACCAAAACAGTGTGGTACTGGTACACAAACAGACACATAGACAAATGGAGAAAACAGAGAACACAGAAACAAAGCTGCACACCTAAAACCATCTGATATTTGACAAAGTTGAGAAAAATAAGCAATGGAAAAAGGACTGTTTATTCAGTCAATAATGCTAGGATAGCTGGGTAGCTATACGTAGAAAAATAAAACTGAATCCCTTCCTTTCACCATATACAAAAATTAACTAAAGGTGAATTAAAGATTTCCATGTAAGACCTCAAACTGTAAGAATTCTAGAAGAAAACCTAGGAAACACCATTCTGGTCACTGGCTTTGAAAAATAATTTATGACTAAGTCCTCAAAAGCAATTGCAACAAAAACAAAAATTGACAAGTGAGACCCAATTAAAGTTGAAGAGCCTTTGCATAGCAAAAGAAACTATCAATAGAGTCAGCAGACAACCTACAGAATGGGAGAAAAAATTCACCTACTATGCATTCAACAAAGATAATATCCAGAATCTATAAGAAACTTGAATAATGCAACAAATAAAAAATAACCCTATTAAAAAGTGGGCAAAAGACATGAACAGACACTTCTCAAAAAAAGATATGTAAGTGGCCAACAAAAATGAAAAAATGCTCATCTTCACTAATTATCAAATCAAATCAAAACCATAGTGAGATCAACTCACACCAATGAGACTGGCTTTTATTTAAAAATCAAAAAACAACAGATGATGGTGAGTCTGTGGAGAAAAGGGAATGCTTATACACTGTTGGTGTAAACTAGTTCATCCCCTGTGGAAAGCAGTTTAGAGATTTCTCAAAGGACTTAAAAAAGAACTGTCATTCGACCCAGCAATCCCATTACTGAGTATATATCTGAAAGAAAAGAAATCATTCTACCAAAAAGACATATGCACTCGTATGTTCATTGTAGCACTATTCACAATAGCAAAGACATGTAATCAACCTAGGTGCCCATCGATGGTGGATTGGATAAGGAAAATGTGATACATATTTACTATGGAATATTATACAGTCATAAAAAAGATTAAAATCATGTCCTTTGCAGCATGGGGGCAGCTGGAAGCTATTATCCTATGTGAATTAATGCAGAAAAAGAAAATCAAGTACCACATGTTTTTACTTATAAGTGAGAGCTAAACAGTGGGCACTCAGGGACACAAAGATAGGAACGATAAACTCTGGAGACAACTAGAGGGGGGAAGGTTGAAAACTAATTGTTGAGTACTATGCTCACTATATGTATGATGGGATCATCCACATCCCAAACCTCAGCATCATGCAATATACCCATGTAACAAACTTGCACATGTGCCTTCTGAATCTAAAATAAAAGTTGAAGATATAAAAAAGAATGGCTCTATTTTACATGGGTACATGTATTTGTATTCAGAATAAGGTATAGGAATTGTAACATTTATTATGAAAATAATATGATGACAAAGAATTAGGTGGTCTAGATGATTAATTTCATATGGCCAGACATGGTACAAATTTAAATGATATTAATGCTTTATTCATAGTCAATATTTGCATTTTTAATAGTGAAAATCTGTTAAAAAATCAAATGAATCATGATCCTTAAACAATAAGCAATGGAGGAGTATTTTTAAAGGGACTTTCAGGACTAGCTATACATGTCTTGATCGAGGTCAAAATTCTGCACACTGGGATATTTGAGGTCTAATTCAGCCACCCAGCTTTCTAACATGTTTGGATGTTAGCAATCATTATACTCAGAACCAGTGGGCATCTAGAGCTGTTCTTGATTTAGAATTGCCTCTAGTTTCAGAGAAGAAACAGGATCCTCTCTGAAGCTTTTAACAGGGATATTTTTGTGATGTGAATTATTTACACAGTGATTCCTTCTGAATTGGTGTTCTTCCATCTCTAGAAAAATAGTGCCTTTAAAAATTAAATCAGAGAAATAGAAATAATTCTAAACATTATTAACTCCTGAACAAAAACCTATTAAAACCATCAAAGGCTATTATTTTTGGAAGTGATCATGATTACAAAATTCTTCATGAGACTCTCTTTTTCTTTTGCAAAGGAGAAGTGTACCAACAGCAAATCGGTGCCCTGAGCTGAATGCAAAACAACTGGTTAATATTTTTCCATATATTAAAAATTAATCACTAAATTTATTCCAGAAGAGACATTAATTTTTTTAAAGAACTTTTCTCTGGATAGATAGAACTAATTACCCCGCCCCCAACCACATACACAGGCATGTGCACACACACACACTCACACACATACAGCAAAGGTTCTTTATTCTTCCTTACGGAATAAAATGCAAAGCCTTTGAAAACTGACAGTAGCACTGCTTTAAAGGCACAATGTGGTGATCCTAACCTTCCCTATCTTAGAAAAGCAAACAACAAAGCTTAATAGAATTGTATCTAAAACAAGGATAAATAGACTTTAGAAGGAACCTAAGAATCAGACTCCTGTAAGTAAATTGCGTGAACTGTGTGATATTTATTTTGACCTTGTTTCTGTGGTTATTCTTCATTTCCCAGAATTTTCTGTGTCATAAATAGTATAGAACAGGAGAAGAGTGTTGCTGTTTCAACAATAATGGAACCATACAGGCTGGCCTCAGGAGCAGCATGTTTTATAAAGTTGACTTTGAGTGTTTGATTTAAAACAATCTTTTTGAAAAAAATATACAACCAAGCTTGGACTCCTCCCATCCAGGTATTTATTGTAGTTTCCTTCGATTTGGGTACCTAAAGCTTTCTACTTTAGTCAGTCCTACCTTAGACAATAACCCAAACACCAGAACTAATTCTCCATCTCTTCCTATGTCTACCCCTGAAGAACTTAAGTGACTTGTAACTGACCTTTATTCTCTTCGTGCTGGTAGTGCCGTTTTAACATAATTTACGTGTGTTTCAGGGATATAATTTTGTGCCACACTCCTGCTATGAAAACAAAAAAATCTTCAGTAATTTGTATTGCCTCAAAGCCCAAACTCCTTAGCAAGATCTTCAGGCAAATGGTCACAACATTCACATAAAATTCTTCCACACCTGGACATATTTTGCAGATCCTGCCCATTCACAGATTCCCTATAAAATGTCACCTCTTCTTAGAAGTCCTCCCTGGATTCCCTAGGTAGAGTTAATAGCTCTCTACCATATCTTTTGCTCTGGTAATACCGTGTACATAATTGCTGTAGAATACTTACTTATTTACAGATATTATTTTTCCCACTAGATATCATAACTGTTCAAAATATGGCTATATAATGTACATATTTATCCTATGATTAGCCCCCCAACTGAAAATATATTAAATAGTTGAAATCACACTTAATAAATATTCATTGAGCGATTATAACTAAATTCATTTGCTTTTTTGTCTCTTTTCAAGCTCTCACACTTGAAGTTCTAAGGCATGATCATCCATGTATATTTTGTTCATTACTGTGAACCATGCCCAGTATAATATTAATACCTTGAACATAGCTTGCAAAAGGAGCTTTTAGGAAATGAACAAATTATATACTGAAGATGATAATGGCCAATAATGTGTATGAGAGTTCCTAAAACACAAAATTCTTTAACTCAAAAGAATGAACCTCTATTCATAAGTATTTCAGCACCATAGAAAATATGGCTTTAAGATACAGCTGTGACTTTCAAAATGTGGGTTGTGACTCATAAGTATTTGACATGCTATTAATTTAGTTGACTCTGACTGGCATTTTAAAAAAGAAAAATGAAATTGGATTGTTTTTGTTTTCTTCTGCTGTGTAACAAATTACCACAATGAGCAGCTTAAAACATTACTTTCTTATCTCACAGTTTCCATGGATCAGGTGTTGGGGCACAGGTTAGCTGAGTCCTCTGTTCAGAGTGTTACAAGGATTCAATAAAAGTATTGGCCTGGGATGGGTCCTACCTTAGGCTTGAGGTCTTCTTTGAAGCTCACGTGGTTGGAAGCAGACTTCATTTTCTTCAGAACTAATAATGCCTTGCTTCCTCAATGCCAGCAGGAGAGAATCTGCGGCTTCTACAAGGCTTCCATCTCCAGACCTTCTTTTCAAGGGGTCACCAGCTTAGGTCAGGCCCACTAGGGATAATCTCCCTTTCGATTAGCCTCAAATCAACTGATTAGCAACTAGAGAATTTAATCACATCTGAAAAAAATCCCATGACCTTTTTATAAAGCAACCTAATCAAGGGGTAGTATCCGATCATACTCACAGTTATTGCCCCCACTCAAGGAGAGGGGATTATACAAGAGCATGACTCTTTGGGAGTCATTTTAGAATTCTGCCTACCACAAAGATGTAAGGATAAGTATTGTTTCATTAGATTTTTGCTTTAATAATATATGTACATGTATGTGTGCTGGGCATGTGTTTATATATGTATGTATGTATATGTGTGAGCAGTGAGTCATCATGCAAAATGTTTTGCACAGTGGGTCATTCAAAATCATTTGAAAATCACTGGGATCAAGGATACATTCACAAAGCATCTCATATTCCCGAAAGAAAGGAAGTACATACTTCAACCGTAGACAATGCTGAGTAGCTTTAGAAATTTATTTCCTAATATTAATTTCTGGCTACAGTAAATTTTGGGTTCATTAATTCAATCAATTGATGATCATTAAACACATATCATACACAAGGCTTTGCATTAAGCAACAAAGACCATTAATTACTTGAGATCAGAAGTCATTATGGAAGATACTATGTGTATCTAAAGAAACTGCCAGATTAATACCAGCAGAAACTAGGAAGAAAGTACTCAGAAATTTTGAAGAAAAAAAGGTAAGAGTTCATATTTTAAAGAGATTTTAGTATTACTATGCCTGATAAAGGACCACATTTCCTTTCCGGTTTTCCAAGATGAAAACTCATAATTCAACAATAGGAGAAATAAGACAAGTAATTAATAAGGAAAGAAAGGAAAAAGATTAAAGAAGAATAATTTATAAAGGAGTCAGTGTCTGGAATATGTTTCTCACACAATTTAAAGAAATAAATTTACTCCATTCAGCAATTAAAAGAGACAAATTAAAGTGTTTTCTAATTTTTTTATTTTCATAGTTTTATTACACACTTCAGAGGAGTCACTTCAAGTCTCAAAGATGGGGACTACCACCCACTCAAGTTACTATCAATAAGACTTACAAGTCATTGCATTTGCTGAGATGGAATTGGTTTGGAACAAACTGAAAACCCCCAAATCGAGCACAGATTCTGTTGTCATCTGTCTCTGCCACCAAGCAGAAGCCAGTGGCAGTAAGACAATCATACACGTTATATTTTGATTATTTAGACATGCAGAATTCCCAAAATGCTCATAAATGAATGCCAATTTTCCTATTTTCCTAAACCAAGGCATATATTGGCTAGCTAATTTTACTATGATGCACTACCCATTCTTAATGCACTGAAATACCATTGTACTTCAAAATTTAGGTTGAACGTGTAATACCTTCTGTCTTGTCTTCTAATATGTTCAATATCATCTATGGAAAAGGACTGCTGTGTCTTTAACATTGAGGTAATGAGTACAAACAGATGTTTTTTCTTTGTACCTTGAGACTTTCTGTTTCCAAATGAGCTCAGATTCAAGGTTAATGCTCAACAATAATTTCCTGGGCAGTTAGATAAGTTTATGTTCAGTTTAATGGTTGTGAACCAATTGTCAGAGGACTGGATGTCCACAATTGCCATAAAGTGCCCTTTCTTTCCTTATTGCCTTAAAATTTCTATCAAAGTCATTGTCTTCCATGATCTTTGATATTTCTCCCACCATATCAATAGTATTTTTCTTTTAAGGATCTCAGAGAACTTAATAAATGTGTCTCACTCTCTATTTTATTAATGTTGTTGATTAGGTTTATGGATTCATAATTTGGGCTCATGAAATATTTGTTTCCATTGAGACAGAAAGCCCAAGAGATTAATTAAACCCTCTATCCTCACTGTTCCTTCATGTTCCACCTCTATTAGTAAAAACAAGCATGGAATGCAAAACAAAAAAAAAAGAATTATAGTTGTTACTAATTGATTGTTTTTCAGCAATCATATGCAGTGCATAATTATCCAAAATTATGTTAAAATCCACAATTTTTATATGAAATGAAAAAGAAAGTAGAAGCTTCATCTAGAAAGGAATCTACATATTATAAATTCTATTAAATCTAACAAAGTACCTAGGCTGACAACCTTGAAATACTTGAGTCAAACCCTTTATCTCCTGTCCATGAGTTCTGTAAAGACAGCTAACAATAAATTGTTTACTCATTTTTCTGTAATAGAGATTTCAGTTCTCTATTTGCACGGCTTTTCTTAGTGATGTTGCAGCTATTTCCACTTGTGTGTGTATTAATGCAAAAAGAGTTCAAGGGCAGATGTCCTTCAGATAATTCAAAATACATGTTATAGTTGACAAAAGTTCAGTTTCAAATGAAAAACCTGCCCTTAGTACAGAGTGACATTTAATTTAGATGTTCAGCAGTATGGGTTATTGGTTCTAGGGGTTATACCTTGGCCAGTAATGAGTGCAGAAGTGACATATGACTGATGTTATTGTTTGCAAATTATTGTACTGCCAGTGAAGGTAACTATTAAAGACAATCAAATATAGCCAAGCTGTATAGTGAAATCATTACTTTCTGCAAATATCTTGTGATTTATTCAAAAGCTTTTGCATTATGAAGCACCAAAGAATTTGAGAGACTATCCACCATAATCCAAGAAGGTTGTGACCTCATAGATTAAATGGGATGATGAGTTTCTATTGTCACAATGACACCGCCTTAAGACACAGCCTTGGCAGTACATGCTTAACTTGATAGGATTACAGCAATGAATGGATTTACATAACATTTGAAATGTTAGTATATGATCTTTGTCAAATAAAATATTGATTTATCAGAGATTGATTTGCTGTTGAAAATATTCATTTCTAGTGTAGAATAAAATCCTGAAAAACATTCATCTTATTAATAGCTCTTACTCTCCAAATATTTTTATAGGGCATTTTCTATTTGGCCAGGCTCCACTTCCATCAATCTCTGGGCTCATAGTATATTCCAATTCCTTACTATGATAATATTCTCTTACCATTCCACCCCCTTTCCTCTCTCTCCCTGACAATTGCATTCCACAGAACAATTTAGCAAGGATGGTGATTGGCAACCTCAAAAATGATTCAGATATCTCAGGTTTTCAGATATCCATTACTAGTATAAGTGAGCTCTTATCTGATGTTCATCAAGACTGAGTAGCTTACTCATCAAAATAAGTCAAAAAAGAAAGAAAGAAATGCTTTCGATTCTCCAGTCCACCATTTCACTAGAAGGATTAATGGTGTATTTAAATTTGCAGTTTTCCAAAGATACTGTTTCATTGTTTCCTGTCCTACCACAGTGCTGAGTTTGTATTTAAATGTTTCATTTTGTGCATTTCAAGCTGTCAGCCTGAAGAAATACCAATAAGTGTGTTAGGTTTAGATAATCGAAAATTCCCTTTACTCAGCTTCTTAGTCTATATTTATCTGTCTGGCTGTGAAATCTATTCCAAGAGTATTCATCTACCACCCAAATCTATTCACCAAACATCAAGACTCATCAGTGAGATGGAATAATGCCATTTAATTAGTCTTTGATATACAGCTTAATTAGGTCTTAATAAGGGGTAGTGCATCCTAAAATCAATTATCTTGCTTTTTTTAATAAGAGCAACTAATTAGTAGGAAAATCACCACAGTTCTCTTTTTATCCTGAAGCTTTCCATGGTGCTAGGAAGAAGGTTATGAAGAAGAAAATAATACCCTCCAAACTATCTGGAAAAACTGTCATATTGAACTCAAAAGGATATATTCAAAATAGTTGCAATACGTTAGAAATATTTTACAGAAAATGCAATGCTACCAACTCAGCATCCTTGTATATTGCATCGTTTTTTAGGTCATGCAATAAAGAAAAGTCAAGTGTTATCCTATGTGTGTGTAGCTCTTCCTTTTGCATTGTTGATAGGTGTTCTAGACGTAGGTTCAATGTGACTCTGTCTACAGTGGTCAGGGTGCCACATTTACAGTGAGTCATCTGTGTTAACTGATGCCTAGTTTACTCCTTCCTTGGAAGTACTCCTATGAACAGTTGAAGACAATTACCACAAGGGTGGCTATGTGTACCAGGTCTTAGAGTTTTTCTGTTGGTATTTTGCTTGTTTCTCCCGACATAGTAGATTTTACTTACCTGTACAAAAGAACTACTTTTCATGACATTTATAAATCACTCAACAAATTCAACTTTTTCTATGAATTAGGTCCTGCTCAAGCCACTGGAATTTGGATATGTTTAAAACAGACAAGGGCCTTGCTCTCATAGAGCTAACATTTTAATGAAATGAGATAAAGGGAAATTAACACAAAGGCAAACATGTAAGACAATCTCAGAGTGGTAGGTGCTATAAATGCAATCAAGTATGGTAGCATGGTAGAGAGGGACAGGGTGCAGAAAATATATTTCAAAGGCGAAGGCAATGGAAGGGTTTCTGAGGAGGTGCATTTAGACTGAGACCAGGAGGAGGAGAAGGAGATGATCAGGGGAAGATCTAGTAGAAGAGAGAAAATAAAGGCCTTGAGTCAGGGATAAACTCGATGTTTTTGAGGAATATAAAAAATGGCAGTGTGGCTGGAAACCAGCAACAGAGGTGGGGAGGGGGAAGAAATGACGTAATGTGGTAGCTAGAAATCAAATCAGGATGAGTCTGCTGGACTATGGCAAAGAATCAGGATATTATTCAGAGTTAGGAAGAAGATGTTCACTGGGGGAATAGTGTGATTGATCTAACTTACGAATTTTCAAAACCAATATGAACATTAATTGTAGAATCTAGGTGGTGTGTACACAGGTTTTTAACTATACAATTATTTGAACTTTTCTGTATCTTTGCAAATTTTCCTAATAAAATGCTGGGGGCAAGGGAATCAATACAGCAATGGAAGTGGAATAAGTAGAAGCAGTGAGTGGTCCAAGCATTAAATAATGTTAGTTTAAATTGGAATTTTAGTAAGAGAAATAGAGACTCCCTGCCCCCAAATTTAAAAAATTCTGTTAAAATGAAAGTCAAATTATGTTGCTTCTCTGGAAAAAATTTCTAATTATTATTTTATTAAACTCTACGAGTCAAATTGGCTGGGCGTGGTGGCTCACACCTGTAATTTCAGCACTTTGGGAGGTCGAGGCAGGCACATCACTTGAGGCCAGGAATTCAAGACCAACCTGATCAACATGGTGAAATGCCATCTCTACTAAAAATACTAAAAATTAGCCAGGCAAGGTGGTGGGCGCCTGTAATCCCAGCTGCTTGGGAGGCTGACGCAAGAGAATTGCTTGAACCTGGGAGGTGGAGGTTGCAATGAGCTGAGATAGCACCATTGCACTCCGGCCTGGGCAACAGAGCCAGACTCCATCTCAAAAACAACAACAAAATGCAAAATCAAAGTTATTTCCTTGGTCTAGGGCCACCCAGTCACCTAGTGGAAGAAAAATCTATTAATAGTTGGAAATACCTCCCTTGGCAAGCCTGACAAGAGTTGGAAGAGTGCTTCATGGGGGTCAGACTGAGGCTGTGGAGTGGAGTCTGTACTCTGCTCCATTACATATGAAATGAAGCAGCTCTGCATGATCTGCCCAGCTGCATAGGACTCATTTTAATTCAGGCATGCTTAAGGATACAATAAGGAACGTGGAAGCCAGGCTCAGGCTTAGCTTAGTTCCCTTTGGGAAATTCAGTCACCTCAGCAGGTGGCCAGCTTCCAGGGAAATCCTTCAGAGAGTCGATTAATAACAGCTGCTTGACGCTAACTACTTCTCGGGAGCACATACTTCATAAAAGGGACAACAAATGAGCGACCTTTTTGAAGAGCCTAGTAATCAAGCTCAAGAAGGTATAGGTCATGGGCTTTTTGCTTGGCCTCAACACAGTCATGTAAAATTGATACTTAATAAGAACAACTCTGTGATGATAAGGGTGTCTATACCGGGGGAACAAACACATTTTGAAAAGTTTCTTTGGTACTTAAAACTCTAGGCATCCTCTCACTCTTGCTGGCCTCAGCAGGATGCAATCTAAAGAGGCACAAATACACATATGTCTTGGGCATACATCACAACTGAGGAGTCCTTACCAGAACACACTAAGTCCTTCAATAAATGTAACCTACATTTTACCTTGAATCATCTGAGATAACATGATGATCTCTCTCTCTTTTCTTTTTTTTTTTTTTTTTGAGATGGAGTCTCGCTCTGTCACCCAGGCTGGAGTGCAATGGCGCGATCTCAGCTCACTGCAACCTCCACCTCCTAGGTTCAAGCAATTATCGTGCCTCAACCTCCAGAGTAGCTGGGACTACAGGCATGCACCACCATGCCCTGCTAATTTTTGTATTTTTAGTAGAGACGGGGTTTCACCATGTTGGACAGGCTGGTCTCTAACTCCTGACCTCAGTTGATCCGCCTGTCTCAGCCTCCCAAAATGCTGGGATTATAAGCGTAAGCCACTGTGCTCGGCCACAATCTCTCTTATACAGCTTATTTGATCCTGCCTGGAAGACTCAAGGAAGCAAAAAGCCAAAAAGAGACATGTTAAGCCATAAAGGAAGAGCTCGAGTTTTAGGTGGTTATTCATAGTTCAAGAGTCTGTATCATAATGATGAGCACATGTGTTCCTGCTTCTGTCTCCTTTCTTTAATATTGCATCTTTTTGTCTTGCCTTCCCACCATAGCCATTGATCACAGAACAGCACTACTATTTAACAAGTTTAACATGCTCTGTGCCTCTTTGTTTTGCCTTTTCAATGTGTTAGTCATGGTTCTTCAAGGGAAGAATTATTCTGAAGGCCAGTGTCCCTCATGAGGCCTAGTAAATGTTTACCTTGCTTTGATAGTTAATTCTGATTCAAAGGTTGATCCTGATAGTTCAAGTCCAGGCTTAGCACCTTTGATAGCAGAAGCTGCTGCATGGGAACAGCAATAGAGCTACTATGAAAGAAACTACTTTGGAGAAACCACAGAATAGAACAACAGATGCTCTGGCTTCATTTATTCCAAACACAGTGAGATTTGGATGGGGAAAGTGAAGGGGTTGAGTAGGGAGGAGGAGAGGGCCTGTTATTGAAAGAAATGGATAAAAAGCTCCAAGTCTCCCTAAAAGATTGGATTGAACATAGCAGTTACTGTTTCAAAAGGAGTTAGATATCTAACCTAAGCAAAGCAAAGGATTTAGGGAGAATTCTTAAAGAAGTTTAAAATTAGAAGATTATCAGAATGAGGTTTGCAATGAGCAAGTTTAGGTTTATTAGAATCCTGCCAACATATACACACAAACCACACTCAAGCTAAGGGCCTCATAGAGCTCAGCTCCATAAAGGATGGATGGATGGATGGATGGATGGATGGATGGATGGATGGATGGATGGATAAATATATAGGTAAAGGGCACCCTTATGATAGAATGAGCAAACACAATTTTTGACCCAAAATGCCACTATTGGTACATTTCAGAGAAGAAAGTCAGGATTCCTCTTCATTATTGTAGCCATATGCAGGAAACAGATATTTATGCCAAAAGTCTCCAACTTCATCTCTTCCCAGATGACTTGGTGAAATGTCACATTTGCTTTGTCCAAAGTAAGCCAAGGAACTGCTAATACTGGCAATTCTGGATAATCAACACCTGTTAAGTGCATAGAGAAACCTGGCCCCAATCACAAGCATGTGAAGGCCCTCAGTTGACTAAGGCCTTAATCATTGGCTCTGGCTCACTGCTGCCTCTGGTTCTAAAGTCTCAACACTCAGTCTCAACGGGGGCCTCAAGAATCACCTGTTCTGCACCAGTTATCATTTTATTCTGAGTTTTCATACTCATTGGATTATTTTATAACTATGTCTTGTAATAGATGGATAGAGGATGCCATTAAATATAAAGAATTCGCTGCAATATTTCTAATTTGAGCTCCTTCATTTTCCTTTCTTTTTGACCCTGGATGAAGAAGTTAAATTCTCTGAGCCTCAGTTTCCTCATGGATTGTGATGAGGAATGAACAAATGCTTATAAAACTCCTAGCGCAATGTTTGGCAGTACTAAGCCCTCAAATGGTTATTGCCATTATTTTAAGGTTTGTAAAATGAGTTTCCCTCTCTTTTGTATTACTATATTCTGTGACTAAATATCATGTTAAGTATTTAGGTATCCTGGCTTTTTATTTTTATTTTTTTGTATTACCAATAGAAAGCACCTGTTTCCTCTTTCTATTATCTTCCATTATAAATTGTACTATTTTGATATAATTTGTTTCAATGCCCACAAATAAACCTTGAAAGTTAGTACAGAGCAGTACTTTTGCTGTAAACTTCTCTTCCCACTCCCATACCCTGTTGTTACAACTAAACATATTAGTATCATATTTCCCTACAATTTAGTGAGTTAACATACTATGATAGCATTCAAGTCCAAGGAATTTTGCCATTATGACCAATAACTAAATAGTTTTAGTTATATGTTTTGGCCTCTGTGAATTGACAAATGAAACAATTTGATGCAAGAATAAAATACATGTTGATGACAGTGATGACCGAAAGCATAAGAATGTCTCTGCCATCAGCTTATTTCCTTCTGTGTAGAGATCTATGAAGAACAGAAGCAAAGGAAACCTATATGGCTCATGTCTATATAGTTCATGGAGCCACTTATGACTTCTTTTGCTATTCTCTTTAATTGATTCCTTATTCAGCAAATAGAACCAAGATACAATTAACCTTGCGAATAGTTCTTTAGGGGTGTACATATTCGGATTTGATTGGGTCTCATTTGGGTCACTGTCATTGACCTGAAGGTCAAAAAGAGCATACTGGCTGCTTTGGGGTAAGTAATATTGAATTAAATCTCTTCAGAGACTAGTTTAAAGCCTGGAAAAGTCTTCTGGCTTAAACAGTGAGAGATAATTGGAGTGTCTTGTGGTATCAAGTGTTTGAGTACAAATTAATATTTTGGTGTGATTGCTTGCTGTATGTTTTTAAAGGATTCCCACTGAAAGTCAGTTTAGTTTATACACAAGCCTCACAGTTATCTATTTAGAACAGTTGCAAGTAGCAGTTACAGCACTAATTACTGGACGACCATTCTTTCAGAATGTGAAAACCAGGTTATGTTTTTATGACACTTTGAACAAGTATTACATGACTCAGGGTGTTTCAAAAGTTAAATGCCTTCTGAAGACATATGTTTAATTGAAATCCCAGAGAGCAATTATTTCCATTTTTCTTTTGTTTTGAGATAAAGATTTTCTCTTTTGTCGCTGAAGAACCAGTCATGAAATACGGCGTTTGGAGAGCAGATAAAGGAAGGGCAAGAGGGATCTTTGCAGAAATTGGGCATAAAGTTGCTGTAAACTTCTCGATAATGGATTTCTTGACATTTTTGTCCCCATAGTCACCCACCTCCTCTTTTCTGCATTCCAATTCTTCTCACTTGATAATGGTTTCAACTTATTAAAACAGATAGTTCCTCTGGTCACTTGATTGACGCCAACATATATTTTAACTTTTAAAAATTTATATTACTCAAGGTACTACTTTAGACACAAAGCACTCAGAAAGGGCCATTTCTAAGTCCGTTTATTTTCTCATGATCCATATTAAAACCTAGAGGCTGATTTTTTATGAATAGTTTTAGAGGTGGAATATTTAGTCCTGAGTTGTGTATTATTCATTAAGTATTACAGGTCGGATACTTAGGGCCTATGATCTCATCAAGTGACTTAAGGAATGCTTGAGACATGGAAAAATTGTAGTATCTCAAAATATGGGGGGGGGGGACATTGAAGACAATATTTAATATAACATCCATAACACAGCATATCCACTCTGTTAATTGTTATGTTTAGTACCATCAAAATTTCATAACATTTAAAAACAATTTACAGGTTAGGTAGCCTTCTTCTATAAAAATTCCTAAGAACGTGCAATGACTAGAATCACTGCCACTCATAAATTAAGTTAGTGACACGTAGCCAAATAAGTTTAAAAACAACATAATAAACAATAATTATTCACCAATTAAAAATCATTTTAATGTCAAATGTGGAGGCTTGTGAATATCTTCCATATGATGTCAGGTATTGCCTCTAAAAATAAAAGCACCTAGGATCTCTAAGAAAGATTAAAAGCAGTCCTATAATCCTCAGCAAATGGCAATGTTCTCTACTTAGCTCTTAGCATAAAATATGTGTATTAAGAATTGAAAGCAGGATCTAAAAGAGATATTTCACACTCATGTTAATAGCAGCATTATTCACAATAGCCAAAAGGTGGAAACAATCCAAGTGTCCATTGAGAGATGAGTGGATAAACAAAATGTGGTATATACATATGGTGGAATATTATTTAACCATCAAAAAGAAAGGAATCCTGGTGCATACTATAACATGAATGAATCTTGAGGACATTATGCTAAGTGAAACAAGCCAGGCACAAAAAGACAAATACTATGTGATTACACTTATATGAAGATTCTAAAATCATCAAATTTATAAAAACAGAAAGTAGAACAATGGTTGCGAGGGGCTAGAAAAAGAGGGAAGTGAGGAGTTGTTGTTTAACAGATATAGAGTTTCCATTTTGCAAGATAAAAAAGTATGAAGACCTGTTTGACAGCAATGTGAATATACTTAACACTACTGAACTGTGTACTTAAAAATGGTTAAGATAGAAAATCATATGTTACGTTTTTTTACTACAATTTGAAAAAAAATTGCATTTTAATAAGTTATTGAGTCCTTTATTCCTTGGATTGTGCTTTATACAAGAATACTTTGATAAATGCAGTGGGTTTTCTTCTCTTGTTTATATAACTTCTTCTAATATAGTAGAAAGTAAAACTATAAAAAAGGAATATTATTTCTCAAACTCGAACCATTTAAAACCAATTTTAAATTAAAAAGAATAATTAAAATGTATGACATAAATTCATTTTGTTATATGCTTACTCATATATAGTATATATATGTAAAAGTATATATATGTAAATATATATGTAAAATATCCATAAACAGTATTTTAACTTTTGGACAATCATAAAGCAAACAAAAATTAGAAATGTCACTATTTCATATAACATTTGTTTCCTTCAATGACGTGAAGTCTTAAAGGAAGCAAAAAATTACTAATGATACTATTCTCCTGTTACTTTTCTTTCCTTGAATTACAAGCAAATTTCTTTATATGGCAATGCAGAGATGTTTGTAGACCTTCACTTGGGAGAAATGTATCATTTCTATATTAAATCTGTTCCATGTTCTTTTCTCATTAACACACAGCAATAAAAATAGTATGACATTCCCAACATAATTAAAAATGCAAATGCAAACCAACATTTAAATTGTGCTATAGCCCTAACTTATAAATGCTCAACCAGATGATTTAGAATATGCTGATATTTATTGTTTTAAATTATTATTGAAATGAAAACATAAACTCAGAACATTTTCAAAAAGAATTCTAAGCCACTCTCTGAGAATACCAGTTTAGGAAACCCTAAGTTTTAATACAGTAAGAGACAAAGTGTAATAGAGATATATACAATGTGATGTTGGAATATGAGGCAATTAATTCTGCTAAAGGGGATCAAGGAAGACTACAGAGAGAGACTGTCAATTAACATTTAAATTGGACTTTGTTAGCTAAGTACGAAATGCCAGTGGGATAAACGTTTGTGTGTTGCCTGAGCAGGAAATTCCAACAGAGGTGGTAACTTAAGTAAAGGCCAAAACATGAGAAAGAATGTGATATATCTGAGGCAACAACGTGTGGAATATTTGAAAGGGTACCTGGAAACCCAAAGTTCTAGCTATTTAATTGCTGTTAAACTTTGCTTATTAACAATGTGGCACCATGTGAGATTATTAAATTTCAGAGAAAAGGTGGATCATATTTGTGTTTTAGAGGTACACTCAATGTGAACTACATGAGGACACATTTTGTAGCAATGAAAACAACTGTCATCCAGAGTGGCCAATAAACCTAACAGATTTGTCAAGGCTGAACGTAAATTAACCTACAGGCAATTATTTTGTTTAATGTTGAGGAAATAATGAAAATATTTTTCTCTTAAGGAGGCACTACCATCATAAAAGTGTGGATTGCTGTTATCTAGTTTTTGAAAAATAGTAAATATTCCATAAAAGACTCCTTAAATTAATAAGATTGAGTTTCGAACTAAAAGGACAGAAAGGAAGAGTCTTCTCCTATTTTTAAATATACTTCAAGGGAGAATAGGTCAATGGAATGCAGACATGGGAGAGTTGAGGAATGCAACGTTTTAAGACTCCCGATGCTGCATTTTCCCCACTAAGTATGATTCATGCTTCCTTCAAGAACAGAAGTGAGAGAAGATTTATCTTTTTGTGATAAGCCAAGTTGAAAAAATGCAGGCATGAGAACTTAGGTGGGGTCCTAAGAGATTGATTTTGGTTACAACTTGAATTGGAAAGAGAACAGTACAAAGAATGATTCTCACTCATTCTTCAGTGTGATGAGCCATTACTTAGAGAGACACTGAAACATTCATTAAAAATATGTTGCTAGCCTAACCTCTTGGATATCTGGACAATTTCAATTCACTGTTTTACAGATTGAACTTATAAACTTTCTCCCTCAAACATTGTTTCTCTTTCTGTATTTCCTGAATTAGTAAACACAACGCCTATTTCCTATTGACATTCCCTCCTGGTTGCTGACACTATAATGCTTACGAAGACAGGGAGTCATCATAGAATCTTTCCTCTCACAAATTTTCTTGCCAATTTTTCTCGCTTCTATATTTACGGAATTCATTTATTCTGTTCTATGCACACTGCAATCAGGTCCCTCCATTTAATTCCTGATGATCTCTAGTCTCTATTCTTACTATATTTTTGTCTCCAGGCTTTTCTTCTCAGGTTATCCTTCACAAGTCTACAATAATTATATTTCTACCTAAAATATAATCATTCCCTTGAAGTATATTGGAACAATATGGTTTCAGTCTCCCAGAGTCACAGAATGGGTCTAAGTATTAATCACGGTACTTACTGACTGAGAGTTATTATTTTCTCAAGTTGGCTTATGAGGAAGTATTATTGAACTTCTGTGCCTCAGTTTTACTCATAATAAAGTTGTAAGGATTCATTAATACAACAATGCATGATGCATAGGAAATGATCAACAGCGTTGTTATTTTCTTTATTAATTTCCTTCTGGCTTCTCATTTCCATCTTGAGAAAATCCAACAGGATAGTCAAAGTCTTTGTAATGTGTCCACTACTTTCCATTCAAATCTCATCTTTCTCCTAAGATGTTAGGAACCACGAACTCCAGACATAAGGCACGACTTCTGTTTCACTGAATGAACTATACTTACTTATCCCTCCAGGCCTTTGCACATATGGTTCTCCTTAAGAGAAATGCCTTTTTCTCCTGTCAGAATAATTTAATTTCTAATTTCCTTCTTCATTCATATTAGGGGGTGCTCTCACCGAGTTCCTGAACCCCATCAGAACACAGTGGCCCTAATGTGTAGTCCTGAAATATACTATGTATACTTCTATTGTGACAGCTATTACACTGTTTTGTTTCTCATTTGCCTCATCAACAGGCCAAAATCCCTAAGGCCAGGATTCTAGGCCTTATTCACTCCCAAAATTTCCAGATGAGACCAAATATAAAATTGGTCATGGATTAAATTGGATAAAATTGACATGGATTACTTAATAGCAGTCCAAAATGTGAAGAGATCCTCAAAAGTCTCTCGGTCGATTTGAACCTATTTCAGTGATATAATATTAACAATTTACACAATTTGAAATTGGAAAATTTATAAACATATGTAAGTTATTTTAAATTTATAAACATATGTAAGTTATTTTTATATTTTGCCTGTTTTTCAACTTTAGACTCTAACTTGCTCACTGGACCCAGTTGGTAGTTTGAACTAGCTAAATATAACTGACAACATATATTGTTTTTATTTTTATTTTTTTTTTTTGAGATGGAGTCTTACCCTGTTGCCCAGGCTAGAGTATAGTGGCTCAATCTTGGGTCTCTGCAGCCTCTGCCTCCCGGGTTCAAGCACTTCTTCTGCTCAGCCTCCCGAGTAGCTGGGATTACAGGCACCCACCGCCACGCCTGGCTAATTTTTGTATTTTTAGTAGAGACAGGGTTTCACCATCTTGGCCAGGCTGGTCTCGATCTCCTGACCTCAAGTGATCCACTCGCCTCGGCCTCCCAAAGTTCTGGGATTACAGGCATGAACCACCATGCCCAACCCAACAACGTACATTGTTTTTCAATGGGAAAAGTTGGCCATACATTTCAAAAAGCTGGAGGCCAAAAAATATCTGAACACAAAGGAAATTTAGATCACAGTTCTCTTGGAAGCCAGCTAAAGAAGCCAAAATGCTCTGGTAACTGCAACAATTGAAATTAGGTAAACTAATTCTACAGTTTTCTTTTGTAAAAACAGTCTATTATTGCTTTGATTCAGTTTACAAAATAATTTTTCAGTTTCAAAGAAAGCATTGTATTGATATTGGCAGGAAAAACAGTTGGGAAATGTAATTAGATTGTAGAGAAGAAATTACTATGATGATGCATCTCTTCTTATCTGGTATATTAGATTTTCATTTTCCACTTTCTCTTTTTTTTTTCTGGGTTTATCATTTTTTTCTAGCTCCCTTTTCTTATTTTTTTCAACTGGGGGGTTCAGCAAGGTCTCCAAAATAGTCTATACCCCAAGGAACTTATTTTCTTCTAAAAGAAAAGGTCCTAAGTTAAAATTGGGTCACTGGCATTGCTTTACAGTCCTAAACTAATTCCCAAGGTAATGCTGAAATCATTCATGACCTCCTAAAAAGGATATAGTACAAAAGGTGGACCCAATATTTTCCTTAGAGAAAAAGCATAGAGGTCTCTATATTTATTATCTTAGAACCTGGCAGTCTTTCTCTGTGTCATTTTTTTTTTTGTCTGTCCCTGTTTTCTCTCTCCTCTCTCTCTCTGTGTATATAGAAATACATATATAAAAATATATATTTATATGTAATATATATTATATATTATATCTATCTATATATATATATACACACACACACACATAAACATACACACATACAGAGTTCTCCCACTCATCACATATTCACTCCTCTTGTAAATGTATCACTGTTTCTATCTGGAGGACCATCCTCTCCATCACGTCCTCCCAGTGAAAATCATCTGTCACTGGAGAGTTAGGCAGGTGACTCAGGCCTGGCCATGCAGTCAATGAGCTCATATCAGGGTGTATCAGGTGTTTTTTTTTTGTTGTTGTTATGTTTTTTACCTTTGCACTTACTGTGAGAATATGAATAATCTGGAGAAGATGCAGCCAACTTTCCACCACAAGGGAAAAGCCTGACAGAAAAGGAAATCAACTTTATAGAAGGATACTGAGACAATGGGAAACAGAAACCAGGACCTATTTGAGCCCTCCATCACCTCGTTCTACAGCAAGAATTGTCCCTTGATTTTGCAATTTTGTGAGCCAATAGATGTTGGGTTTTCTATTGCTTACAACAGCAAAAAAGCCATGCTGATACGTGAGGATTAGTTAGTTGCTAATATGTTCTAAAGTCTTTGAACATGTAAAAGGCACTTGAAGAGCTTGCTTTACACATAGATTCTTAGTTCTTAATCACAGAGACTTTAATTCCGTTGGGAGTGGGGAGAGGCAGGGAGAAAAACATGAGGTTTATATTTTTAAGAAGCACCCTCTGTTTTTCTAAAGCTTATAGCCTACACACGACACATTGGGCAGAACTAAGGTGGTGATGACCTGCTTCCTTTTTCAGAAATGACCAACAGCTCTGCAGAGGGAATGTTTTAGACAAATATTATAATCAAATAAAAAGCAACTTGAATTTATATCCCTTAATTATTTACAGTTTGAACTCCACTCCTTTCTTTGAGAGAGCTTTATCCTGCTTCCAAAAAAGGCCTGGGAAAATTTTTTCAAATCTTAATAGCTCTACCATAAGTTATAAAAGTCTCCTGTACTTGTAATTTAATTTAAAATAATCCAAGACTGAAGTGTTAAATTTTTTTTGGTAATTTTAAAGAGCAATTTATTAGTTTACCATGAGATTTGAAACCAGGATACACATATCACCTGGCTAGCACATTCTTTATTCAACAAGCAAAGCTAGAGAAAGTTTTACCATCTGATATTCTTTAATACCAGGCACAGATTAAAAAATATATACTTTTCTTGTATTTTCTTCACAAGAATAAATAAGAGAAAGAAAAAAAGGAGGAAAAATAAGAGGGAAGAAATGAAGTGAGAAAGAGTAAAGGAAATTATTGACCATTCATTACGTGATACGTTGAATCTACTGAGAAAAACAGAAAACTGTTTTTTTAGTAATCCGTCCCACTAATTTCATTTAAGTAATTCACTAATTTGGTTAACAAATATTTACAGAATGTTAGCTATGTTCTAGGAATTGAACCAGGTATTTAAAAAAAATAAATAAACATAGTACTACCTTCAAACAGTTAACAGTCTAATAGCAAAGTCCAAAATATATTAAATGGCTATTGTATGTGTATTCAACATCGTGCTAGACATTTAGGTCTTCTAAAAAGAGACTTTACATTTATAAAATTAATGTACATCTTCTTACGAAGACAGTTAAATGTGTATTAATTAAATGATTCAAATAGTCATTAATCAGGCAAACCTCAGGGGATTAAGGAAAAAAACCAACATAACTACATGAATTCTGAATCATCTCATGCACTGGAATTGACCCCCCAGAAATGATCATTTCAAGGGATAACAGTAAAGAAAACAATTTCTCTACATTGTTTTCTTAAAGGAGGGCAATTTGAAATATACCTAGAGTAATCCATTGATCCACTTCTATGTCTTAGAAAAACTTTATAAGTTCTAACTGCAGTTCTTTTGTTTGCTGGTGGTATGATACTGGACAAGTTGCTGAGCATTCCTCATTTATAAAAGAATGATGGAGTTCATTGCATAAGGTATTTCAAATGCTCTTCCTCTGTACGTGTAGATAGACATTTCCATCTGGTGTTGCTTCGCTTTTGCCCATGGACTTCCTCTAACATTTCTTTTAATATGGATCTCCTGTTAATTAATTATTTCAGTATTAGTATGCTTAAAGGTTTTTATTTCACCTTTCTTTGTGAAAATCATATTTGCTCAGCATAGAATTCTAGGCTGATTTTTTTCAGTATTTTAAAGATATTGTTCTACCATCTTCTTGCTGGCATTGTTTCCAAGAAGAAATCTGTTGTCCTCATCTTTTTTCTTCTGTAAGTAATGATCTCTCTCTTTTTTTTTTTTTTTTTTTTTTTTTTTGGTGGTGGTTTAAAGAGTTTTTTTCTTAACAATGAATGTTAGAATGTTATCTTTTTTATGATATGCCTTGGTGTGATTATTTTTCTGATTCTTGTATTTGGAGTATATTGAGCTTCTTGTATCAAATTTGGAAACTTTCATCAAACTTGGAAATTTTTGGTAATTCTTTCTTCAAATGTTTTTCTGCTCTTTCCAGGATTCCAGTTGCACTTATATTTGTCTACTTAAAGTTTCTCATAGTTCACAGATTTTAGGCTCATCTTTAAATATTTTAAAAATGTTATATAGTTTTTCATAGCTTTCTTGTTCTCTTTTCAGGTTTATTGATCATTTCTTCTGAAACATTCAATTTGCTGTCAATACAATCCAGTGTAGTTTTGATCCCAGACATCGTAGTTTTTGGTCTTAAATTTTGACATAGTATTTTTATCTTTCGTCTTTCTACTTACCATTTCGAATATAGGATAAATATTTTAATGCCCTCATCTGCTAATTCCAACGTCTATGTCAATTCTGGATTAGTTTTAATTGACTGACTTTTATTCTCCTTATGGATTATATTTTCTGATTTTTTGCATGCCTTTTTTTTTATTGGATGTCAAACATCTTGAATTTTCTCATGTTGAGTACTGGATATTTTTGTATTCCTATATACATTCTTGAGCTTTGCTCTGAGATGCAGCTAAGTTATTCAGAAACAGCTTGATTCTTTCACGTCTGTCTTTTAAAGGTTTGCTAAGGAAACTATCAAAGGTATGGTTTGTTACTCTAGGGCTAATTATTCTGCACTATAGAAGCAAACTCTTCTGAACACTCTACCTAATTCCCTGTGAATTTTGAACTTTATTTTAGTCTGTCTGGTGGGAATAGGCACTTTTCATCCCTTTGTGAACACTGGGAACTGTTTCCTCCAATACTTCTAGTTGTTTTCCTGGCCACCGCTAGTTTTCTTGCATTTGCACACAAATCAGCACTCTGCTGAACACTTAAGGGGGACTATGGGGTTTTCCCTCTGTGCAGCTCCCTTGTCTACAGTACTTAAACTTGCCAACTCTATCTTCCTTAATCTCTTTGTATTCTCAGAGAACAACTTCCATAACTCTGGGATTCTGTTGGGCTTGGCCCGGGTTCTCTCTCTTTATGCTACAGCTAAAGCCTTTCTCAAAGCAGTAAGTTGGGGCAATTGTCAGGCTCACCTTTCTTTCAGGAACCACTTCACTTCATTACCTGGTATCCAATGTCTTAAAAACCATTGTTTCATATATTTTGTTTATTTTGGGGGGATGTGTCTAGACGGAGGGTATATCTGGTATCCATTACTGAATCTTGGCTGGAAGCAGAAGTTCACTAAGGGTAATTTTTTATATACCAAAACATGTTTGCTCTCGGGATATGATAGAATCTGCTTTCATATTTTATATTCCTAGAATCAAAGAGTATTTTCCTGTTCAGGTGTTTAGGAAAGATACTCTTCCAAAGCATCTAGATACACTCTGGTGAGGATAGTAGTAGCACAATATTTGGTGACTTATGTGAGCTTGCTTCTTACCAAGCATAGCACACATTCGGGGAATCTTTTTACTTAAGCTGATAGGATTTAAGATTAAGTTGATCATGGTGTTAATGCTTCACACTTCATGTTTTATAACTAATATCTGATTTTATATATATGATATTTGCTTACTATTAAGCCAAAATATATGGGTATACATATATATTTTTATGTGTAAGTACCTCCACACATTTACTCCCACATGTTCACACATATAGTATAATCTAGATGGCTCAATTTATTTCACGGTACCTTTACTTTCTTTTTTGAGACGGAGTCTCGCTCTGTCGCCCAGGATGGAGTGCAGTGGCGCAATCTCCGCTCACTGCAAGCTCCGCCTCCCGGGTTCACGCCATTCTCCTGCCTCCGCCTCCCGAGTAGCTGGGACTACAGGCACCTGCCACCACGCCTGGCTGATTTTTTTGTATTTTTAGTAGAGACGGGTCTCACCGTGTTAGCCAGGATGGTCTCGATCTCCTGACCTTGTGATCGGCCCGCCGCGGCCTCCCAAAGTGCTGGGATTACAGGCGTGAGCCACTGCGCCCAGCTCACAGTACCTTTATTGATGACATTCATATGTATTTATATTTTCCCTTCTACAATTAATGCTTTGACACATATCCTTGCTCATATATCTTTACAAAATTGTATGAATAGTTTTACTAAATATTTTTATGAATTGGACTTTCAGCAGACATAGGATGCACACAATTTTACTGTGACTGTAGCTGTCAGATTGCCTTTCCCAAATAATTGTGTCTTGAATTATAGTTTATATTACAATGTATATAAAATCATGACAGGCCGGGCGCCGTGGCTCAAGCCTGTAATCCCAGCACTTTGAAGCGCCGATGCTGGCGGATCACAAGGTCAGGAGATCGAGACCATCCTGGCTAACACGGTGAAACCCCATCTCTACTAAAAATACAAAAAAATTAGCCAGGCGTGGTGGCGGGCGCCTGTAGTCCCAGCTACTCGGGAGGCTGAGGCAGGAGAATGGCATGAACCCAGGAGGCAGAGCTTGCAGTGAGCCGAAATCGAGCCACTGCACTCCAGCCTGGGCGACAGAGTGAGACTCCGTCTCAAAAAAAACAAAACAAAAAAAAAATGGTAATATTTAATACTAATAATTATGTTTGCTGCTTTGATCTGTCAGAACTTATATGAAAATATTTACGTGAGATATGATAAAATTGTATAACACAATTGTATAACATAATCCACTACAAATTTTAATTATTATTAATAAATATATAAGGATAAGGTATCAATTACTAATTTAAAACTACTCAACAAAATTGGCAGTCTAAATAATACATATCCATTATTAATCCATAATTATATACAGTTAGCTTATTATAAAATAGATGTATGAATCTTCCATGTCAATGTCTTAAAAGACCAAATGAGATTATTTACCTTCATAAATAGGTTTGTATACCAGTGATATGCAGTAAATACTACATTACTTCCAAATTTGTGTTAAGAGCTTATATCATAAACAATTCTCTCCACTTTGAGAGATCAGGCCTCTAAGTAGGTGGATTTCTGCATGTAGCCTTTTCCATATTTGAAAGTAGAAGAGGAAACAGAATTAGAGAAAATTATATTGTAAACTCTCAAGGAAGGAAGCTTGTAGGAGCAGAATGGGCAGTGGTAATATAATAAAAGTAGGGTTTCCTGACTAGCCCTTTTGGATGTGTAAGAGGAACCCAGACTATATTTCTCCTCAATTTATATTGTAGGAAACCAGCCATTATTAACCATAATGTGGACAAAATATGCTAAGAAGAATTCATAATATTGCTATAGATTCTTCTGGGATTGTTACCCAAGAAGTCTTTTTATGAGTATTGCTAAATTATCTTAACTGTTGTGTGGACAACACCCTCAGGGACAAGGACTTTATTTGCATCTGTTACTCTGGTTGTTAATCATGGGAACAGTAGATGGAGAGAGATGAGAATGGACCCATTCGCTTTCTTTCTTTCAGGGTATTACCAACAGTAATACAGATAATAATCTGAGGAAGATAGGGTTGTTTTAATTTATTGGACATGTTGAAATAATGCTTCCTATGGGCACAGAATGAAATAAACCAACAGCCTGCATTTTAAACATCAAGTTTTCCTAGTAATGGCAGATGTGGGTAAATAGATCATATCTTCTTAATGAGGACATATTAAACTTTAGCTCTTCCCCCTGATTGGCACACATTGAGAGCCCATATTATTTTTTAGCATTTCCAAGTGCTACTTATGAGGAACTAGATGTGAAATCATCACAAAGATGTATTGTTTGGAAGCTGACATGTGGTACATAAAGTTTGGGCTGCAGAATTAGAATAGAGAATTTAGGAAACATTTACTGTTTACATTAAAACCAATCATTCTCGAAGGGTTTTTTACACTGGGACTGCGTTCATAGAAGGTTGTCTAAAATGTTCAAGTTACTGTTTTTCCACAACTGGATGGACCGGTTGTTTGCCAGTGTTTTGTCCAAATTTTAGTAGATAAGAATTTCACTGAAGCTGAATCCTCACAAAGAAATATTATGAAACTGGTTTTTTTTAAGCACATAATCACAGCAGCTTCATCTTACTCCCTGAGTTTTAAAACGTAATAAACATCTTAACTGATAGCAAAATAAAAGATAAAAATCAGTATCCTCTCTTAAAATGTAATCACTTGCATTATTGGAAAGAAAACCAGATATCCAATGTATTAATGCAAGAAATTTTCTGAAACCCAATACATGCTCTAACCCTCATAGTGGAAATGTGTGATGACGGTAGACTCTTGAAGCAAAAATCAATTGCATGCATTCAACTGCCATTGTGATATTTATGTTGCTATTCATTCAGGATACTAGAAAGCAGACTGCTCACCTCTAATTCAATCAGGAAGAAAAATAGTCAATCCAGAAATTATCAAGCATACTCACATTTCGTGTACCAATTACTAATATAAAATAGTCTCTGCCCGCTCATTTGAATAAACTTAAGGGGAAAAAAAAGACTTTAACATACCTTACACCAACGAAAACATAAATATTATCCTGGAATGTCAGGAATTTCATCAAATCCAGTAAATTTGATTAAACAGAAGCTTTTAGATGCAGGCTTAGGTGAACTGATTCCATTATGAATATGAAACCAACTATTTATATTCAGTAACAATTAAGGAATTCTTCACTAAATTTTTTTTCAAGATCTTCTTTTGACTTCTGCATCTTTGGTGTTTTACTAACATAATAGGTGGGCACATCTACAGAAACATTTCAGAAAGCAATGCATTTAGGTAAGAAGAAATTCAAGGGAGAGATTGGGTTGTACTGTATGACCAAAGGGGTCTTCATTACAAGTATTTTCTTGGAAACTATTGAAAACACCATTTTCTCACTGAGTTTTACTTGGTAGTGAATTTGTATTAAAAGTCTGACTTTCCACTATCTGAGATGTATGTTTGAAATTAAGCACTAGGAAAATATTCAGATGTTTCTTGCAGCCCTACATAGTCTGAAAGAAGCCTGGAGCCGTGGTCCCGGGGCACTGTATTCTTTGGTAAGTGAAAGCATTTCAGCCTAAGAATTTAGAACAAGGCCAACAAAATTGTGGACAAGCTGAAGAAAAAAAAATGTTCAGAAAATTATTTTAAATCAGTAATGGGTTTAAATAATTTTAGAACCACATGGCAAGCTCTGTCATCAGCAAATCACTGAGCAAATATTGATGTCAAGGAGGCAAAGATTACTTCTCTGCATCTAACTTTTGTTGAGAAAATGGAACTTAGCATTTATTTAAGACAAAATAATTTGGCTTTTAGAGAAATATGTATGCTTTGTTTGTTGTTTGTTTGTTTTTGTTTTTGTTTTTTTTTTAACAAACTACCTCAATTTCGATCCTGCAGTCTATGGCCTTCTGAAAAATAACAAGAGGAAAATAGACAGAATCTAAGTGGAGTATTGGGTCATATGAATCTGCCTTAGAAATATAATCGGGGTTATAAATCTTAAGAAAGGGACTGAAAGTATGGTTTCACAAAGAGAAATTCAAGGAAAACGTCATTGGGATAGGGGAGGCCCATATAGGTTGAAAGTACTTATGTTTCTATGAATTAGATATAATTGTGAAGGGTCTATATATGCATGAGAGTGAGAGCTGATGGGGCGGGGCCAGATGAAATGCAGAAAGCACTTTTTAAATACTTTTTTTTGGATGTGTGTTGCTTATACTTATTTGTCGTTTGATGTTCTGTGAAAATATCTTCCCAAAGATTAACCCTCTTATTTCTTTGGAGAATGAGCAGTGAAAGCTCTTAGAAACATGAACTGCAGACACTTGGAGGACTCTTTTTATTAGTCAAGTGCCATTTTGCTCTTTTGCCTTCTATCCATACAGAGTTATGTTTTCCCTAATTCTCATTTGTGATGGTAAGTAGATATCCAAAATAATTTAGACCTACCAAGACATGTCTTTGCGATATGCTGATGCTTCCATGAATATAAAGACATTCTCCTGCAGGCAGTTGCGTTGGCTTTAAAATGCTAGAACTATCCATTTTGAGTGTAATTATGCAAAATAAATGAAAGAAATCTACCCTGCTGATATTTATGTAACAACTTCTGGAATAAATCTTCTGATTTACAAATATACTGGGACCATTAACTAGAAGCCACACCACATCATTATTTCACAGAACTTTAGGCAATTGTGATGACTTTTCTCAAATCAGCATTATTTTGCAAAGTCAAATAAAACAGAACCAATTGACTTTTCCCCCAGCACTTTTGAAGAAGAAATAAAGCTGCTTAAAAATCAGTGAAGGTTGCACTTTCAGAAATATTTTTAGAAGTGCATTTTTTTTGGAAACTATGATTCTTTTCATACAATTCATTTTATTTTTTGGAGCCACTTAATATTCTTGAACCATATTTAACTTCCCTAGGAAACTGCAAAGAGTGGGTTGAAATCCATAATTATATTAAAGCTATGGTCCCAGTAACAATGGCTATTCCACAGGTGCTGACCAATGCCTTGTCATAGGAATATAAAAACAGGGAGAAAGTGAGATTTTTCTCTGCTTACTTTTAAGTAGTACTGATCCTGAAAGGAAAGTTTAAGTATTTGGAGAAAGAGATAGATGAAAAGGAAGAATTCTGTCCAGAGAAGAATTGTCAGTAGGCAAGTTCATCCATAGCCACAAGTGCCCCGATATGCAAGCATTTCAGTAACCCATCTCAGTATCTCTTAGGAGCTTTCGGGATTTCCTGCCCTCTGCAGGCATTCCCGACATCCTGCCCACCTCACACATTCAACCTCTCTCTGTTCTATCCCATGTCTTCAAAGTCTTAATTCTATGCTAAGTTATGGGTATTTTATTTGATCAAATACTCTTTAATTATAATTTTTTAAATGACATATTAGCATTCTTATGGGAACTTCCTAGAAGCAATGTCTTGACTTAAAGGAATGTCTCCAAATCTTAGATGCAACTTTACGATGTAAGACTCCTGTAGGCATTTGCTAATACTGCAGTCTCACCAAAGATAATGGCATTCCATGCCTGTCAGTGAGTGGTCCCTGGTGATGACAGAAAAGTAATGTGAAGGTTGTCAGGGCTATACTTTTGAAATAAAGATCAGGCATGTGGAGTGGTTACCTTTTGACCTTCAGGTTATATATATATATATACTCAAAATTTTATTCAAAAAAATGTTTTAAATCTATTCCTGAAAAAAACAATATATATATACACACACACACACACACACACACACACACACACATGTAATTCTATTAGTGTCTTCTGAATACAATATCTACATGTCTGTGTATCTATAGTGATATCCCAGAATTTCAAAATCAGATGTAAACATTATAAGAAAAAAACAATTGACTGGGCCCGGTGGCTCATGCCTGTAATCCCAGCACTTTGGGAGGCCAAGGCGGTGGATCCCAAGGTCAAGATATCGAGACAATCCTGGCCAACATGGTGAAACCCCGTCTCTACTAAAAATACAAAAATTAGCTGGGCATGATGGCACACACCTGTCATCCCTGCTACTCTGGAGGCTGAGGCAGGAGGATTGCTTGAACCTGGGAGGTGGAGGTTGCAGTGAGCCCAGATCGCGCCACTGCACTCTAGCCTGGCGACAGACTCTGTTTCAAAAAAATAAATAAATAAATAAGAGTATCTACTGTAAGAAAGAAATTCATTACAGACCCACATTCTCCTTAATCATAACAAAGAAAAGGTTGAAGCAATGGCTGTCTACTTCAGGAAAATGAGTTCTACAGCTGCTAAGGCAATGAGAATAGGTACTTTGAAAACTGGGTACTTACTTCTTTAGGGGGTTACATAGTTATACATGCTTCCTACGTGCCATATTCTGTTTTGAGCACATCACACATATCATAGTATTTACTTCCTAAAATGACCCTTAGAACAAACTTCATGACAACGTTGAGATAGGTACTGTTACTGCTCTCTTTTTACACATGAACAAACCGAGGCACAGTGAGGTTAAGCAACTTGGTCAAAGTCACAGATAGTAAGTAGTAGAGCCAGGATTCAAACGCAGTCACCTACCACCATACTGTGCCGTCTGAGGCAGTACTTCTTATAGTTTAATGTCTGCAAGAATGGCCCCACCAACTTGTTAAAACGTGGATTTTCCAGAGATTCTGATTCAACAAGTTTGGCAGGGCTTGATGATTTACATGTCTAACAAGTTCCCGATTGACACTGATGCTGCCCATCTGCAGACCATATTGGGGGTATCACTGACCTACGGAACTATGCAAATCAGCAAGATAGAGTAATCTTGCTAGTGGGCTATCAGAATCTGGGCTCAAATTCTTTAAGAAGTCTTTCAGGGCTTCGGTTTCTGCAACAAAATAAAACCATGTTTCCCTTTTTAAACCCGAGCAGTTGTGGCATAAGTCTCTATTGGTCTAATTCCTGGCAATAGTTCCCACATTCCCTACATCTTAGCCACAACTGAATGTTTTCTAGAATAAGTGTGTACAAGTCAAATGCTCAGGAAAAGGTCCTTCACAGAGTTCTCTACCTGGCCTACCATCTGGCTGCTATGTCATTGGCTCTGTTGCTAGGAACTTTGCTTCCCTGGACACAGCAGCCCTCCTCAAAGAGCCCTCCTTGGTGTCACCTCCCAGGCTCCAGGGGAGCACCCACTGCTCTTTTCCATCTCACTTTACTCAGAATAGGTGCTCAGCCCTTTTAAGTACTGCGTAAGTGTCTCCGCCCAGCTGGCTCTCAGACCCAGTTGCTGGCTTGCATGCACATGGCCTGCTACAGATTTCCTGCAGCCACAGGAATGGCTCCTGGTACCTTCTCAGTCAGGCTGGCTTTTCTCCTACTATTGTTTAAGGTCTGACATTTTGTCATTGGTTTCAGCTTAGGGATTAACACTTTCCCCAAGATGATGGATGGTGGGAAATCCTTTCCTTTCAGGAAAAAAACTTTCTTTTACCCTCAATAGTGTTGTGTGACCCTGTGGCCTTAACAAGCCATTCTTAAAAGACTCTAACATTTATACATCTCCTCTAACCTGGACTACTTAACTGTGTCCACGATAACCTTGTTAAAAAGAAAACTATGTCCCCGTGTATTTCTCCACCTGTCACAACTGGAAGTATTTTCTGATGAGAATTTGTTGTGATTTCTAATCTCTCACCTTTGGCATTCATCAACCAGTTTGGGGATTTTTCTTTTTAATCAGAAAATGATCTCCCTGAAGTGAATAAAGAAACTTCTTGAGCACAAAGATGAAAATACAGAAAAACTATAATTAGTTTATGTCAATTAACATTTTTGAAAAGAAAATATACAGACACCATTGTTTAAAACAATTAAAAAATTACACCTTACTTCTTTGAAGCAATAGGCTTATTGAACAGATTAATTTACAGATTCCATCCCAGGGAGAATTTACTTATTGTGTTTGTTTTATTTCTGATATAAAACTGTAATAATAAGCCATGTATTATATTAGGTTATTAAAATATCAAAGTGTCTTAGTACCCATTCCTGAAGCATTAGCTGGACTTTTGTTGATATCCAGTTCACTCACTTACTGATTAATTGTATAAAGATATGAACATCATTTTCTCTTTAAAAATTAAAAAACCTGGTCCAAAAATATCATGTCCTGTTTTTTTTTTTTTTGCATTTATATAATCAAAGTATTTGAGGAAGTTGCTTTAAAATTGTCATAGTATTAAATAAAAAAAAAAGAGACTAAGCACTTAAAAATCCAAAATAAAATGTACTCTTAAAAGATATCTGTGGCTCGGCCGGATGCAGTGACTCACGCCTATAATCCCTTCACTTTCGGAGGCCGAGGCGGGCAGATCATCTGAGGTCAGGAGTTTAAGACTAGCCTGGCCAACATGATGAAACCCTGTCTCTACTAAAAAGACAAAAAATTAGCCGGGTGTGGTGGCAGGTAGGTGCCTGTAATCCCAGCTACTCGGGAGGCTGAAGTGGAAGAATCGCTTGAACCGGGAGGCAGAGGTTGCAGTAAGCCCAGATCGCACCACTGCACTCTAGCCTGGGCAACAAGAACTAAATTCCGTCTCAAAAAAAAGAAGACAGCTGTGGCTCATATTAACATATATATTCTACCTGAATTATTAAATATTTTCTTCTAAGTTTTTTTTTTAACATTTTTTTCCTATGGAACCTATTCAGAATATACAATAGATCTCTTCTATATTTGGAGGACATGTTTTACAGCTCCTCCATTAAAATACCTGGTTTTCACTCTCCAGGACTGGTAAGTAATACAGGCCTTGGTAAATAATACAGGTTAAACAATTTGATTTACATCTAGTGAAAATGGTTGCTAGGACATTACCATCAGAACTATTCTATTTGCCTTTTTTCTCAGAGTGGTAGCTGAGGATTACTCTAAAACTTACAGTGGGCGATTCCTAAAATTTCTGCCCCACATCATAACAAAGAAAAAAAAAAACCTTAATTCCTTCCTTTCGCCAGATACCCAATGGAATTTATCATTTTAAATGTCTTGACATATATGCATCCATCTACTCATATAACAAACATTGAGTATCTGCTATGTCTTACCTAGCCAATGTCAGTCAAATGCAATGCACAGAGGAAATAAATGAACCACAGTTCCCATTTCCTCTACGTTCAGATTGCAGGCACCATTATCTTAAAACACGCATCTTATGAATTTTAAAACATCAGCTTTCCTACTCCATCCTAATCCAAATATAATGTAATATTAACCTCTTCTAATCAATGATGCCACCATTCTGCTGGAGTACACAGGTTCTAGACCTACAATTGTCTTTGATAATTCAAGTACAGTTCAGCATATGAAGATAAAAGTTGAGTTCAAATAAGGAAAAATAACAATAGTATAGTAATAACAATAATAATATAGGATTCTCATGTAAGAGAAGTCTCCAGAAAAACCTTCATGTTTATTTAGCTCTCTAGAAATTCTCCAAATGTACAGATATGTGATTTGGGAACCCTGTTCTTAAACATGTTCTATTAGAGTTTTACAAAATTATTAATTTGAAACAAGGCTTTTCTTTTTACATTGAAAGCTACATTCTGTGCTAACAGATAGCTAGTTTTTCTTTCCCTTTGCATTTCTCTTCTACCACGGCTATAGGGGAGAAAAATCTCATATAAAGCAAACTCAATATACAAGTACTAATGGACTCGGTAACATTTAGTACTGGCAAATTGCTGAAAATTTGTCAGGTAATGTGATTTTGTTTTCAATTTATGCCACTGAAAAGTAATGTAATGTCTAATGCCAAGAAAAAAAAAACCCTACACTCCATAAAACTGTATTACTGTATATGGGTTTGGCATTTGAGAAGCAAATGAGAGCAAGTTGCCCTTTTCTATATTTCTTAAACAGTGTGTAAAGTTGTTAGATTATACTGTAACATTTTCAGAAATCCTTTGTGCTATAAGAAAATTGCCTGCAAGAGCATGGCGATGTGTACCAAACGTAAAGCATGTGATTGAGAACTCAAATGGCGAAGTGGGGAAGAAAGACCCAGAGCTAGATTCAGAGACTAGGGGCATCCAGTATTCCATCAATATGTCAACCTGGGATTTTAGCTTCTTGACCAAGCAAAAGAAAAATAGTAAAATTCCAGATACATGAATGAAATTCTTAGTAATGCAGATTTAAATCAAATGCCCACTTCGGGCAATTCTATATTCTTTTAAAATACTGCAAATGCAAATTCTTCAGACTGAGATGTTAAATGTTTTCTTTAATAATCTACTATGCTGCTTTCAGAAAGAGGGAAGGATAACTACTGGGAGTCTATTATTTTGGGAGGGCTTATTCTGAAGTTCTGGAGAAAAATCTCGATTTTAATCTTTCTGTCATGTATTTTATTAACTTGAATAGCTTTCTTATCTTTTTGAACCAATTTCCTCATTGGAAATTTTGGGATAATAAGAATGAAGTCTTCTTTACATATCTCACAAGATTGTTGTGAGGATCAAATTAAATGGAGAGAATGCTTTAAATATAAGTTATGAGAATCACATATCTTGGAAATCTTGTTTCCTCATGCACACAATTTTCTATACTTAAGGCATAAGGAATGATCTTCACGCTTATTGCTTGGCTTTCTAGGTATTAAAGCAAAACAAGTCATGGAATGAAAGTCAAGCCACTGGGGTTCAAGCCCCAGCTTTGTCCTAAATTCATAGTATCAGAATGGCCTGGGAGAAATCGAAAATAACTGGGAATGATTATAAAGACCTGGTCTGACCCAACTCTTCAGGCGAATTTCGAAAGGCAACTTCTATGTTTACTCAGTAGAGCTTTCTTCAAGCCTTATGAAATTAGAGGACGACTTTTAGCAGTTCTTATCAACTACTTTTGGTAACACCAGTGACCTCATCCCATTGATGAACTCTAGACAGCCTCTATTAACCTGTGAAAAATGATTCTCTATGACACGTATGTATTTAGGGATAAACCCAGCGTCATCTCAGTGACCTTTTCCTTTTCCATTATCAGCTTTTCTTATTATTAAGCTAATATTTCACGTTTCTTTTGATCTTCTGCTTTTCTTTTCCTTCCAACTTTGTGTGGTCTTTCCTTAGGCAGTTTTCTTTTTTCTTCTTTTTTTTTGTTTTTTGAGATGGAGTCTCGCACTGTCGTCTGGGCTGGAGTACAGTGGTGTGATGTTGGCTCACTGCAACCTCCACCTCCCAGGTTCAAGCCTCAGCCTCCCAAGTAGCTGTGATTACATGCACCCACCACCACGCCCGACTAATATTTTGTATTTTTAGTAGAGAGAGATTTCACTATGCTGTCCAGGCTGGTCTCAAACGCCTGACCTCGTGATCCACCTGCCTCAGGCTCCCAACGTGCTGGGATTACAGATGTGAGCCACCACACCCACCCGGCAGTTTTCTAATGATTGATTTCTGGGATCTCAAAATGTTAACTTTCCAAACTGACTTCAGTATATTCTAAGTTCTGTCCAAAAAATCCCTACCTTGAATTTTGAAAACTAAAATTTCAAAAGGTATGCTTTCCTATTTAGCTCTTCTCTGATATTTTTCCACAGTAATTATGTCTCAGGTTTATATTCTGCTTCTATTTATCTGTGTTTTTGTGTGAGTGTGTGTGAATGGTTTATCAAATAAAAATAGGCTATCCCTTTGGTGTATTCATTTCTATAGATTTCCAATATGCTTTTTTACGTTACTCATTTTTGTTGACATAGATTTCCTTCTATTTTACTGTTTCTATATAACCTCATAATATAGTTACGAGATATGAATTTAACATCAATCATATATACAAGGGTGGGGTAGGGTCTATGAAGTAGTTTAGAGTAGTCTTTGCCTAATAGTACCAACAATTCACTTTATTTTATATTTGAAATATCCAGTGTATACTAGAAACATCAGGTACTGCCAGTGACGTGTTGGTTCAGAATTCTAGTTGTCTCAAATTGTCATGCTTAATAATATTTCAGCAATCCTTCTGTAGAATTTTAGAATGTAAATTCTAAATTTAGAATGAAGTTGACTAAATTATGTGGATTATATAAGAATCAGAACATCTGATTCTCTGAATTTGTTTATTGCTCATATTTTTTAAAATTCTTAAACTTTTAAATACATGTTTTGTATTGTTTCCAATTTAGTAGTATGTTTTGCACCATCATCTCAACAACTTACTTCAGAAAGCAGATAAATAATTGAGAAATATACCCCTCTCAGCAGTTCATTCATTCAGTAAGCTCCCCCACCCCCACCCCCGCCGGTTTCTTTCAGCTTTCTGTTGCACTTTTATCTTTTCAAAAGCGTTTCTGCAATTTCTCTATTGCTCTTTGATCTACCATTAAAGCAAGCATTGTTGCCATGTGTTTCTTTTTGGTATTCACAGATGTTTATCTCACCTTATTCAGCTTAAAAAAAAATCTTCCTCAAGCTTTTCATTATTCATTTTCTTTGTAGAGTTCAATCATTTGTTCTCATTTGTGTGTTTCCACTGATAATAACGCAGTGTTAATTCTTCAGAATCACCCAAAACCTTTTCATCTTTGTCTTCTTTTTTAACCATTTTGGGGGGTTTTACACTTTTGTCATTTGCCTTTTCAGAATTTCATATTATCCTTTTGCCATGTTTCAATTTCATGCTACACTGAAGTTGTGACTCTTCTCAAGTCCCTTTTCTTTTTGTCATTATTTACTTTCCTTTATCTATTCCTGTTCTATTTTCAGCTTTTCATCTTACACCATTCCAAAATTGCATGGACATTTTCACTATTGAACAAGTTTTGTTACCTTTTCACCTTCCTCTTCCTTGTTCTTGAGATGAGGTATACTGCCACTTTACTTAGTACAATTATCATTTAGGATTTTTATGAAATTATACTTAATACTAGTTATAATTTCACTTATTTGCACTTTAATTTCCCATTTATGTCTTAAAATCAAATTTTATCTCCATTTTATTTCTATCCTAATTTACCATTTCATATGCTTTTTATATTTTTCTAGGATTATTTTAAATTAATTTTACTGTCTTGAAAATTTTCATGTTACTTATCTCTTCTTTTAAAACATGTAGCATTTAGCCCCAAATCTTAATCTTTTTCCATATCTTTATGCTTTGATTTCATGTATTTCTGTCTTTCAACTAACATACACTAATAATATGAAGCATATTTTAGATTCAAATCCGCCTATACCTTTTAAAGCTACAATATAGAACAATAAAAACAAAAGAACCATTTTCATTACAAATATTATTAAAAATGTTTCCACAAGATAGTCCCTCCCATTGAATGTTCCATTACATTATATATATATATATATTTAATCCTTTTACCTATAACAAGAATAATAATTCTACTGGGCACTTACCATTCTGTAATGTGCTAGCAAAATAAAACTGTTGAGGAATAACTGACATTTTGTAGCATCAACAGAAATTTTCCTCATGAGGGTTTTTTCTTTAAATTTATTATATCTATTCTCCCTTAATTTTGTTTTGTTTTGTTTTGTTTTGAGATGGAAACTCCCTCTGTCACCCAGGCTGGAGTGCAGTGGCGCGATCTCGGCTCACTGCAAGCTCTGCCTTCCGGTTCACGCCATTCTCCTGCCTCAGCTTCCGGAGTAGCTGGAACTACAGGCGCCCACCACCACGCCCGGCTAATTTTTTGTGTTTTTAGTAGAGACAGGGTTTCACCGTGTTAGCTAGGATGGTCTCGATTTCCTGACGTTGTGATCCGCCCTCCTCGGCCTCCCAAAGTGCTGGGATTACAGGCGTGAGCCACTGTGCCCGGCTCCCCCTTAATGTTTTAATAGGTAATATCTCCTTTTCCTAAAACCTTAAAGTGTCAAGGTTGGTTTTCAAAACCACTTTATTAAGTGTATATTTCATGTCAGTGCGGTGATTTCATTTATGCAAGAAAAATCAAAGGTTCAAGATACTCAGTTGCTTCCAAAATTGTATGTCAAGTTTTAAGTCAATAGATGGTTCCTCCTTGAGTATGCCTCCTTCTCCTAAGATTTAATTACTATTTTCAATTTTTATTATTGATACTTTGCTTTCATTTATAATTTTGCTGTGTAGTTATTTATAAATAAGATATTGTTTGGTTGTGCTTGCTTTTGGATTTTATGAAGATGTATCTCACTGTTTGTATTCTTCTATGACTTGCTTCTTTCATAGAGCTGTACGTCTATGTTCATACATGGATTTATCCATGTTCATACATGTAGCAATAGTTGGTTCATCTTCACTCTTGTATATTATTCCATTGGATGGAAATAGATATGTGTCTGGACACTTCTGATTTCTTTCTTTAGGAAAAATTCATACAAGTGAGATTATTTGGTCAAATATGGCTTATTTTTAATGTTTGTGGTATTTACTGAAGATTTGTCCTCCAAAAGTTGTACAGTAATTAAAGCCATTTCCAGCCACTTTTGAGAACACCATTTCTATTCCTCTTCACCAACACTGTGATTTTGCATTTTCTCATTTTTTACATGTTAAATTCCAAAGCCATTTCCCTAAGAATTAGTTCATGACAATGTGAATGAAATTTCCTAGAGAAACCTTGTGCACTTAGCTATCAAGATATGATGTGAATGTTGTTCTACAATTTCTGCATCTGGGGAATACTGTTTAGATGTGATCAATGAATCTACAGTATCTTGGACATCAGCAAAAAAAAAAAAAAAAAAAAAAAAAGAACACCAGACTTTGGGCTTTTACTATGAAGGAAATTGTTTTTACAAATCTAGGTTTGAGAGACACCAATTTGGTCCAATTTTATATCTGTTCATGTGAAAATGAACTGCAGTGTGCGACAGGCATTTATTTTCTGCCTAGACCTGCCTTCTGCTTTCTCCTATGACATTGAGACCCTTGTTAAATAGGTGACATCTTTCCAGAGGAAATGATTAAATCAAAAGGCTGCTTTGCCACCAGAATCATTCAAAATAAAAGCTTAGCATTCCTGTTAGAAGCTAGAAGAAGGGGAAAAAAACAAAACAAAACCAAATATTTCTGTTGATAATGAACTAATGTTGTTGGTGCATCAATAGAATTTTTCTCAGAAACTTTGGGTTTTTTTTAAACACATTTTTCAAACTTATATTTAAAGTGTTAAATATGTTTCATCTTCAATTCCCCTTCCTCCATGTAAGATTTAATTATATCTTAAATTTTTCATTTATTAATTTTTTCCTTGTAGTTTGAGTTTGATTTTCAAAAGAGAGGCCAGATAATACATTCTCTAAGGGAAAAGAATCTGAGAAGTTGAGAAGACAGAGATGGGTTTTTTTTCTTGCCCGTCTTAGAGATCTTAGGAAAAAAAAAAAAAACAAGAAAGGGAGCATGACAGCAGCAATCAGCTTAGAACTTTCCCCAGGTAAGCATCAAAATGGAGTTACGGATCTTGATCTTCTGCTTCAACTATTTGTTTGAAAATTTCCCTTAATCTATGGTTGCCATGACTGAAGAAGCCCCTCCATGAATAACTCTATCATTAGATATTTCCATTTTAGAAAAATAACAAGAGGCTTCAAAAACCAAAGGATCACATTCACATTTTAAAATACTTTGTAATTATTTTAACTTTGGTGTACTACAGTTCATATGAGGAGAAATCTCTACCAACCCAGAGTTGATCATATTCATTTTGGAGCATCCCTTTTTTGGATAACGTATCCAAGCACCTAGAACCCAGCATGACACATAAAATGCATTGAACAAACATTTGTTTAATGAATGAAAAAACAGTAGATATCCAAACTACATCCTTCCTTTAGGGCAATTGACACAGGTGCTCCAATGAATTTCTTCTCTTAAATCTTTAGCTCTTTAAGTGAGACTTAGTTAAACTAGAGGGGATTGCATGATGCTCAACGTCAGTTTGCAGTGACCTTGGACTAAATGAACCAATACAGCTAGGTTTGAGGGATTTTGGTTTTTTGTTTCTTTGTTTGTTTGTTTTGGTATGTATAGACCCACTGAGTGAATATCTTATCTCATTGAAAACTTTGACCCTTAACTCTGATTCTGGCCTCTCCATTTGCAAACACTAGGAAACTGATTGGGGCACATAGGCATTCACAGACTTTTACCTACAACTGAAAGAATGCTCAAGTTGACTAAAAAGTAAAGAAATGTATTGATTCTCTACAGGTAAGGGTTGATGCAGTAATTCAACAGTATTAACTAAAAAAAAAAAAAAAAGTTTCTTACAGTTGTTTTGTATCTCTCTGCTCTGCCTTCTAGGTCATCAGCTTTCCTAAAATGAGCTCCTTTCTTTGTTACAGGAGGGCTATCAAGAGGAACAGCATTCTATACTTTTTCATTTTTGCCTAGCAAGAGAGAAAGCGATTCTCTTAGTCTAATGGTCAAAGCTATGTACTGTCCTTCACTCTCGTTTAGCCCATTTGTATCACATATTCATCCTTGAAAGCAGTCCAGTGGCCAGGGAAGTCTGTTCTTACTGGCTTAGACCTGATTGATACTGCACGACTTAAACAAAAACTGTGCTAAGAATGGTAGAATTACAATGATTGTCTAAGACTGAGAAAGATCTCCTCCCGAGAGTTCTAGGTGCAGTCAAGCCTGACAAATGGCCAGGCTGTTATATTAATAAAATTGGGAAAGTAAACTATGATGCTGATGAAGCAAGCATCAGTGTGCTCTACAGAGTTAAAGCAATGAGGGCCTTGATGACATATTGAGTAGTTTAGAAGTTATTATATACGTAAAATGTTTCAAGTGAACACTTCATCTAGGTCAGTATTTAGCCTGTTTGTAGTAGGCTGTAGGGACAGAATTAGGCATGAATGAACTATTGTCCCTGTTTTCTTGGAAACCACATTGTTATGTTACTCATGTGACCCAAACTATTAATACATTTTTTGAGGTGATACTAAGTCCAAACTGTGAATCAAGTGTTGACATTAATAAGTTTTTTTCTGACATTCTTGAAAATGATAAGAATAATAGCTAACATTTAAGCTATGTTCCTGTTGCTAAACACTACACATAGATTATGTCATTTAATTTTCTTAACAGCCTTATGAAATGGGTGTTTTTCTCCATTATGCAAACAAAGAAAGTTTGTTTCTTTCTTTGAGATTTAAGAAAGTTAAATAATTTGCCCAAACAGGCAGCAGATCCAGGATTCAAGGAAAATCTTTAAATCTATAAAATCTACACACTGAACCTCCAGATATGGTGATATTTGATAAAAAAATTATGTATACTAGGTGCTGTGTGAATGATCATCAGCAGCCCCACACCGATTTTAGGGGGAAAAAGATCAATTGAACTATAAACTTGACTTAATATACTTTTGAAGACCAATGCAGAAAACTTAGGAGAATATGTCAATAATTTGCATGCAATCTTTAGAAGTGTGAGTGGTGGTTAGTTTTTAGTTCTGAAAATAGGTCCTGAAAATAAATTTATAGTTTTTTTCCAAACCCTTTCTCTACTAAAAATACAAAAATTAGCCGGGCATGGTGGTGCATGCCTGTAATCCCAGCTATTTGGGAGGCTGAGGCAGAAGAATCAGTTGAACCAGGGATGCAGAGGTTGCAGTGAGTCAAGATCATGCCACTGCGCTCCAGTCTGGGCCACAGAGTGAGACTCAGTCTCAAAAACAAAAAGAAAACAAACTAATAATAAAAAAAAGGACCAGAATTTGGATTAAGTCCTAGGGAAGTGGGAGAGGAGAGAGCAGTGGGACAGACTGAGGAGACAGGAAGAAGTTTTCTCTTTATTAGTCATTGCTGTCTTGAAAGAGGCAAAGGAGAGCTAGCAAGTGATTTTGGCATACTCTACGAAATTATTTTGGTTAATGGAAACTTTGGGATTCTGGAAAAACTCCAAGTGGCTGTAAGCACTTTAGGGAATTGGATAGTACATGAAATATAACTTAGAAAAATGTGAAAAATAATGGATATTGGCCAAAATAGTCTTGAAACTCTTCTGTGCTCTGATGGGCTCTAATTTTGAATGGTCCTTTGAGGAAAAATGTTCAGGAGTCATCTTGTCTATCGTGGGCTCTTTAGACTTTATTCCTAGCACATGTCAGCAGTTAAAAGCCAGAAATAAGATGCCAGGTGCATTAAGAACAGCATAGAAAATACTTACAATATTATAAATTAATGACATGATCGAACAATGGCATACTACAGTATCTGGGATAAGGTATCCCTTTCCAGTTGCTTCAGCTTATAGTTGCCTAAGATGTATATTTAATTTTATAAGTGCCTAATCTTGTAGACAAAAGAGTAACTTTAGAATTTTCCTCTGGTATTTAAACTTGGTAAGACGTAATATACTGGTCACCTTCTGTTGGCTTTTAAAAAGAGTGCTATTTCAAACAAAAGATCTGTGCACTTATGTTAAAAAAAATAGATTTGCATTTTCTGAAACTTTGGTTTTTCTGGTCAGAAATTCCAAGATTGCATGTAAGAGGGGCCCATTAATGTTCACCTGTGCTTCACCTTCCCAGCCAGAAATACTATTAGAGTGATTGCCCTTATTTTGTAAAACATATCTGGAACATTAGTTTTTTTAAAAATCCATATGAGATGGTTTCTGTTTCTTTTTTTTAGAGTTAAAACATTTTAGTCACCACTTGTTTGAGTGATTTCAACTCTTTGTATTCTCAAAATCTGAATGTGTCTACAAACATAGCCTCCAATAAAATTGACCTTAGTCCAAATTAGAATTGAGTTGACCAAAATTTCAAGTCAGTTGAAGGTTTAAAGATTTTGGATTTCATTTTGAACAGTTTCTAGTCTCAGATACATGCCTAAATGATGTGCAAGCATCAAGACGAAATGATAAAAACTTAGTTGAGTGTATAACATTTTGTCGACATGATATTCAAATCCTTGAATGAAGTTCTGCATATTTGGCCTTTCTGATCCACAGCCTTTCTCTACTATAAAAAGAAAATAAATTCATCACTACCAAGTGTCAATCTAGAGCCTCTTCATTAATATTAAATTATGTCTAGTTAGAGGTCAATAGGATAAATTACGTTGCTTTATTTTTAACAAGGTTAAAACTCTAACACCATTAATAAGACTACTAATTGTGCATGTTGATATAAGGCTGAGTGTAACCAAATCTTACCTTTATGGTAGATAGTAGCACAATGTCTTAGTTTATGCCCTTCCTTCTATATATAGCTACTGTGGCAACAGGAAACTAAAGATACTCAACTATACAACGAACCTACATTGTAGAGTTGGATTATTTTTTTCCAATTGAGTTTTTCAAATTCATTAATGGATTCTGTCATAGACTGAAAATGCTCATGTCTACTGGCAGTAGCCACAGTTGTGTCTTTAAGACACAGAGACCACAGCACCAGAGATCAGAAGCCCACTGATTTAGAAGTTACTTACTGTGGCCATTTACCCAGTTCCCTTTTTTTCAGTCATGAAATTAGTCAAAAAGTACAAAGCAATATGGTGTGCATGATCTGATACCTTTCATTGAGTTTTATCACTCTTTGGTATATATTTAATTTTTCTCAGGGTTGAGGTCATAACCCAATATTAAGAAAAATAATAACCAATAAAAAAAACCCCAAAGATTTATCACTTGTTAAGCACCTCTTTTTGCCACTTGCTTTCTATGGAAACATGAAAAGCTGTGTAGCATAGTGGTTAAGCGAACTGGCTAGTTTTATAACCTGAAGATTGTTACTTAACCTCCATGTGCCTCAGTTTCCTCAACTGCAAAATGGGGACACTGGCAGTACCTTGAATTATTGGGATAATAAAGCATAATGTTTAATGTGCCTCATAAATATAATTACATTATGTTATTATTTTGAATTCTCACAAAAACATTGTAGGTAATTATTTCTAGGAAGGGGATCGGATGACTTGATTATAACCCATAGCAGGGCTGCAGCTCAAACCCAAACCTTGCTGTTGCCTGAGCACACCTGTTGCTTCTGTATAACATGGAACCAAAGCCTAGAAAACAGGAGACCTGCCTGCACTGTTCTGCAAATTGACATTTAGGTGCTTAGTGAAGAAAATAATTGGTGACTGGCTCAATTTTTCTGTCTGTTTTCTGTGGACAATATTACATACATTTGTTCTAAAGGAAAAGTGTTAAATAGTTCAATAAGGTGTTTACAATGTGCTGTGCATTTTTCTAAAAGCTTTATATGGATTTAATTATTGAATCTTCACCCAAAAGATTAGTTAAGTAAATTGCTTAAAATCACACAGGAGGAAAGGGATAAATCTGGCGCTGTTCAATATTAACTTTTTAAATAAATGAAGAGACATTATGTTCATTGATATGAAGATTCAATATTAATAGGAATACAAGAATTTAATGTAATCTCAATCAGTTACCTAACTATACTTCAGTCAAACTTGGCATGATGTTTTTAAAAATTTGTCTAATAAATGGATCACCTGAGGTCACGAGTTTGAGACCAGCCTGCCCAACGTGGTGAAACCCCGTCTGTATTAAAAATACAAAAATTAGCCAGGCGTGGTGGCGGTCACCTATAATCCCAGCTACTTGGGAGGCTGAGGCAGGAGAATTGCTTAAACCCAGGAGGTGGAGGTTGCCGTGAGCCGAGATCGAGTCATTGCCCTCCAGCCTGGCCGACGAGCAAAACTCCATCTCAAAAAAAAAAAAAAAAAAAAAAAAAAGTACAAGAATAGAAAACAACTAAAGAAGAATATAGCAAAACTTGTCATAAAAGATGGCAAAATATACTATAAATGCTGTAATAATTAAAGCGTTGCAGTCCAGACATAAGAACAAATAGATAACAATGAGAGAGTACAGAGTTCAGAAAAAGACCTGTAGTAGTATTAAAAATATATGATCCAGCGAGCATTCTAAACTGTTTAAATGATTTAAATACTTTAAAACCATTTATACTTGCAGAAAGAGGGAATGGTGAACTTTTCAATAAATAGCCTTGGTTAAACAGCTATGCTATTGGAAAAAATGTTTGCTTACTCACATGGTACAAAATTAAATTCCTTATAGATTAGGACAACTAAACATAAGAATACAAAATCATGAACACATTAGAAGAAAATGTAGTATTATATATTTATAATTTTGGAATAAGAAAAGCTGCCTTACACAAAATATACAGGCTATTAAAGAAAATCTGATAACATTTGGCTATACATAATTTTCCATAATATGTTTTACATTGGATTCAGTTTATTGAATTTTTCAACTACCCCTTATGGAGACTGCTCTTATATTTATCCTGTTCATTTAAATGCAGTTATACTCACAATAATAAAGAGTAGAAAAGTAGTTAATCATGGAGTTTGAAACTTAGAAGTTCCTTCTTTTTATCGTTAACTGTGACAAAAAGCATAATGAGCTCGATTCTCTCCACCAGAGTATTCACAGGCTTAATCTTGGGAAGATAAATCTGTAGAACCATAATATGTAAGACATCTTCATGGTTGCCTAGTCTAGTCATCTTTCCAAAATGTTTGGATTCTGTGTGGTTACCGTTACCAGAGTTCTTCATTTCTTTATATGGCTTACAGTCGCTGCTTAGTGTCCTTTCACTTCAGCCTGAAAGAATTACTTTAGCATTTCTTGCAGGGCAGGCATAATAGTAACAGTACTCTCTCAGCTTTTGTTTTCCAGTTGGTAATGTTTTCATTTCTCTTTCATTTCATGAAAGATAGCTTGGCTGGATGTACTACTCTTAGTTGACAGATTTTTTTTCTTTTATCACTTTAACAATATTATCTCATTCCCTTCTGACCTCCATGATTTCTGATGAAATGTTTACTGTTAATCTTATTGAGGATACCTTGTATATGATGAGTCACTTCTCTCTTACTACTTTCAAGATTTTCTCTGTGTTCTTTGCTTTAGATAATTTGACTATTATGTGTCTTGTGGATCTCTTTGCATTTATCCTTCTTGGAGTTCATTGACTCTTTGTGTGTAGATTAATGTATTTTATCAAATTTTGAAAGTTAGGGCTTTTTTAATATTCTTTCTATTAACTTCTTCCCCTTAAGATATCATGCGTGTGTTAGTACAGTTAATGGTATCTCACAAATCTCTTAGGTTTTGTTCATTTTTATTCATTTATTTTTCTTTCTGCTTCTAAGACTGAATGATTTCAATTGGTATACCTTCGGGTTCAAAGAACCTTTCTTCTGCCCTCTCAAAACTGCTATTGAAACTTTCCAGTAAATTTTTTATTTTGGTCGTCGTGCTTTTTAGTTCCAGAATTTTTGCTGTGTTCCATTTTATAAATTTGCATATTTTATTGTTATTTTTATTCTGTATTTGTCCATACATCATTCTCTTGTTTCCTTGTTTTTGTTCTTTTTGACACTTTATCCATGGTTTTTCTTACCTCATTGAACATATTTAAGACAGTAAATTTAAAATCTTTCTCTAGTAAGTACAATGCATGTGTTTCTTCAGGGATAGTCACTGTTAGTTTCCTCTATGAATTAGTCAAAGTTTCTTGAAAACTGAATATTTTGAATATTATAATGTGTAAGCTAACTCTGGAAATCAGACTTTTTTCCCCTATACAGGGTTTGTTTTTGTTTCTACAGCTTTAGGCTGTAGCTGTTTGTTTAATGACTTTTCTAAAATATTTATTATAAAGTCTGTAATCTTTGTCTGAAATCTTTGTTCCTTCAGCTTGCTGTCAGGTAGAATTTAAGAGATTTTTCTTGTAGTCTTTGGGGGCCAGAAGGTGAGAGAGACAGAGAGAGAGAGAGAAAGAGAAAGAGAGAATGAAAGGATAAAAATAAAATAAAATAAAGGGAGAGAGAAAGAAAAAACAAAAACATTTCCCAGTCTATGCAAGTTGGCTCTGCTCTGAGACTTGTTTAGTTTCTTAGCCAGTCCATTTACAACTTTGCCTTAGCCTTCAGTTTTTGTTTGAATTAAGCTTAGAGATCATGCAGGGATGAAAGCTTACTGTCTTGTGAGGTCTTTTCTGAGCAAGCACATGGCTTTTTTAAATTCTGAAGTATACACAGGAAATCTTAAATACTCCAATTGTTTTAAAGAAACTCACTCTCCAGGTTTTCCTCCCAGACCTTTCATTGCTCTATTTTACACCTCAATCATTATTTTCGCCTCAGGTGGCTATGGGTTGATCATTTGCCTTACACCATTTTTGAGGAATAACTGCTGGTTTTCCATCCTAAATGAGTTCTAGGTTAGGTGAAACAAAGATAAGTACCTTGCATTGGTGCTTCAGGTAGAATCCAGACAGATTAGAACAGACAAACATAATTCATTGGGAATAAGGTCTGTTCTGTTCCCTCTGCATCCAGCGACCAGGGTCCAACACTGGGAATGTGGGTTGCCATCTTCAATACCGATATCAAGCTTGAGAAAGTTGTGTGGCAAATACAAATGCCACAAAACTCTCTTACCTTTTTTGTTTGTTTGCCTTTTATTTTTGATTCACCATTTGCTTGGTTGCTGCAAACCTTTAACTGTTTTCCAGAGTTCTACCAAATTTGATTCTGATAGTTTTGCTTGTTTTTTTGATGTTTCCATGGAGGGATGGGCCCTTGGAGCTGCCTACTCCATTTTCACTGACATCACTCTGGTTACATAGATTTTTAAATTATGTATTTATTTTTGATACAGGCTTTCACTGTCACCCAGGCTAGAGTGCAGTGGTATGATCATGGCTCACTGCAGCCCCACGCTCAAGCAATCCTCCCACCTCAGCCTCCCGAGTAGCTGGGACTCCGGGTGCATCACCATCCCTGGCTAATCATTTAATTTTTTTGTAGAGACAGGGTCTCCCTGTGTTGCCCACGTTTGTCTCCAACTCCTGGGCTCAAGTGATCCCCCTGCTTCAGCCACCCAAACTTCCCAGATGACAAGTATGAACCACTGTACCTGGCAGATTTTTAAATTTATGTATGATGGAATAATATTATATATGTCATACAGTGTATATATATCATATAACATATAGAATATAACATTAATAAAATTAATAAAGAGCATTAAAAATGAGAAACACAGTGAAGATATTTGCAAAATATGTGAGAGACAAATTATTAATGTCCAGAATTCACAAATTACTTCCAGTAAGAAGAAAACAAACTAATAGACAAATTGGACAGAGGATGTGAACATGCAATTAAGCATTAATTAAAATTAACAAAATTTAACAAAAGCAGCAAGAATAATACCAACACACCTCTCTCTAGCCATGTGTACCTACATATGTATAGCAGTATAGAAAATAGCCAAACAGGATAAACACTAAAATGAAGGTAGTGGTTACCTGTTACCCAAAAGAGTAAGACTTGGCAGTTGAGGGGAAACGTTTTGTTTTTTTAAATAAAAGATGACTATATTAATATATTATTTGTGATATAGAAACAGTCTAAGAACTATACTGAAATGTATTAAAAGTATTAATAAAAATATGACTCATTATCCTACTATAAGCCTCTGTTTTCAGAGTTTCATGGTTCTTTCTAGACTAAGTGTTTAACCAATGTTGTATAATGATAATCAAAATATATTTACAATTTTGTTCTGCCTATATTATGAGTACCTCTATGTTGTTTATTATTCATGACTTATATTTTTGATGTTTGCATAGACTCAAACATATTTGGAACTAGGATGGAAATAAATAAGAACAAAAATTAAATTTGCATAGTTCTCCACTAAGTGAAAGCAGTACAATTCTTTAAACCACTAGTTACTCATGGACATTTGGGCACCTGGCTGAATCTTTTATTTTTTATATAGCAGAATTGGAAGCCAGACACGGTGGTTCACGCCTGTAATCCCAGCACTTTGGGAGGCCAAGGCAGGAGGATCATTTCAGGTCAGGAGTTCGAGATGAGCCTGGCCAACATGGTGAAACCCAGTCTCTACTAAAAATACAAAAATTAGCTGGGCGTGGTGGCACACCCTTGTAATTCCAGCTACTCAGGAGGCTGAGGCTCGACAATCACTTGAACCTGGGAAGCAGAGGTTGCTGTGAGCTGAGATCACACCACTGCACTCCAGCCTGGGTGACAGAGGAAGACTCCATCTCAATAATAATAATAATAATAATAATTGGAACCCAGAGAAGTTATGTTTGTTGTTTTACTTAGTATACTTTGGGTATGTCAGAGCTAGAGCCAGGGCCCAGATCTGTTGAGGCTCTTATGATACTCTGTCATTCATCACATTTTAAGAGAATAGGGATTATAGAGAAAGGAACAATGTCTAAAGGACAAGGTAGATGAAAAATGTAATTCTGGCTTTTGCAGGTGAAAAGCTCCATATTGCTGGGCTTAAGGTCCAAAATTCTAGGAAGATGCTTTGAACACTTAGGGAAAGTACTGAGAATATACTTAAGCTCAGCATTGTTTAATGAAAAGCTTGTAATGTCAGACTCAAACCAATTTATTTCTTAGAGTAACTGGAAGGATAGATAGAGTGAATTCCTTTGGGATTCTTGAAGACTAGATAGAGGAATAAGAACTGCGTGCCAGGTGGATTAAAATATGGTCTTACCGAAAGGAATGCTAATGTGATAAATCTGTACAATAAGCTGATCGAAAGAACATAGGGGGAGGGGAGAGGAAAGGCATGTGTCTCTATTACACATATATCAGCTTCGGACATATTTCCAGAAAACCTTGTTGGAAAGTAGGAAAATAAGGCTGCAAAGGGAAGGAAGTCAAGCAAAGGTAAGACATCAAGCAAAGTACCTTAGAGAACATTTGCTGAATCTCATGCAGGATCTCTGCAAACTGTGTAGATCCTACTCAGAGCTGTCCTTACTAGAGGCAAGAGCATAATTCTGCACCACAGGACCAATCAGTCCTTTATTAACCAGATAGTGCAATTGGGAGGTGGGGGTAGAGTATAAATTCTCAGACACTTTCTGTAAGAGATACAAGTGCTGACTTTTGGGAGCAAAAGCACAACCTGACTGCTTGTGCAGGAACATGGTAAAGGGAAGAAATATGAGTTTAGGATGAATAGTGTCTATGACCTCAATTCAGCATCCTCGTGTCGTGGAAAGGAAAACATTAACTGCCTTGAAGTCAAAATAGGATGCTTTAAAAAATGTGACACTAATCATGTAAATTAGAAAACAATCATTCAATTGTTTGTTTTACAACAACGCAAAGAATGTTTACAAATTCAGAAATAGAGAAAACAAAACTCAGGCAAGCCTATGAAGCCATCTTGGTGAGGGATCTGGTATACCATGCTAACCTTACTTGGCATTCCATAGGAAAGAACTGGCTTCTATTAGATGCTCACTAGGTATTTGTTTAACTGAACTAGTACATGGTATATCTTCAATATTTTCTTATATTTTTAAATAATATAAATTTGGAAAAGGTAAATGTAAGCTCCTTTACTTGGATTTCTCTCGCCTGCTCCAATTGCCCAAGTATGAGACTGTAGAAAAGGAGTGTTTATTAACTGTAATGGTCAATAGTGTCTTTGTCTGCCAAAAGAAAAAGTAAAATCTCTGGAATTCACTGATTTGGAACATCATGGAATATGTATTTCTCTTCACCCTGTCAGATTAAACTTGGGTACCTTGGTCTATTTCTAAATATGGCAATTACAAAAGGACATAGGCTAACTAAAATATACTCTAAGAATGGTAGTTATATTGCAAATGACCTTGATAATAGATAATTATTCAACTAGTATTTATGAGCACTTATGATGAATCAGTTACTCAGGAAAGTTATCAAAGGTAATAAGACTGCATCCTTGTTCCTGCAATCTGTTCTGTGTCCAAAAACCTTCCTTTGACTTCTGCCTTATATAGCTTAAACATCAAAGCCTTCACCATGGCTACAAGACACTACAGCATTACTTCTATAATGCCTTTCTGACCCCACGATCTTTCCTTTTGCTGGTCCCCTCTGCTCCAGCCGCACTGGACTCCTGGCAATTCACAGAGTATGCCAGGTATTCTCCAGCCTCAGGGCCCTCGCACTTCTTTCCTCTGCTGGGGATTCTCTTGTCCCAGATATCCAGAACTTGCTCTTCTTTTTTGCTTCATGTTCCTGTTCACAAGTCACCTTCTCAGAGAGGCCTTCCATTGATTACCACATATGAAATTACAATACCCCACCTACACCAATGTTTATATCCCCTAAATTTATTATCTCACTCTATTTTCTTGGCAGACGCTTATTACCATCTGATACACTATGTATTTACAAGCCTACTTGACTGGCTGTCTGTGTCTTTCACTAGGATAGAAGCTTCTTAAGGACAGGAATTGTATCTGTCTTGTTAACTGCTGTATCCTTAGCACCTACCAATAGTCACTGGCAGGCAGTATAAAGAAGAGCTCAATAAATATTTCTGAGTAGCTGCATATTTTAAAAACCTAAATATGTATAAGACATGCCCACTCTAGAAAATCAGATTAGATCATACCTGTATAAACAAAAGATCAAACATGATAAGAACTCTAAAGAGTTAGAGGAAACAATGCAGCGAAGAGGGAAATAGGGAAGGTTTTAGTTAGAAGGCACATCTTGAAGAGTCAATATGCCTTCTCCTTTAGGTGGAGAGTCAGTGCAAGAAATAAGCATTCAAAGCATAAGGAATAGCATGTGCAAAGCTAGTTTGGTATGACTGGAGTGAATTATGGAAAGTGATAGAAGAGGCTAGAAAAACTAGGCACTGGCCAGATTATGAAGTCTTTGATTGCCATGCTTAGAAGTTTGGATTCATTCTATCCTGAAGGCAATACAGAGTTCCAAAGGAATCTTAAGCAAGGGAGTGCTGTGCTCAGAATTCTGTGTTACAAAGAGGAGCATAAGATACATTGGGTTTATGATTTGGAAATTTGAGTGGCTGGTAGTGCACTTAGGCAATATAGACCAAACATTTGGAAAGCAGAATTGGATGAAAATGACAGGTGAGGTGCTTAATTCTGATCCTGTGAGTCTGAGGCACTTGTAGGCCATCAGGGAGAACTGAGCAAGAAATATAAGTGTACAGTGTAGAAGACATCAGTGTAATAATGTCTGAAGGCTTGACTTAGAAAGAAGATGTGGAGTGAGAAGCAGAGCGGGGACAAAGGACTGAAGGGACTGAGAATGTTCTACTCAGAGAAGGCAAGCATCAGAAAGACTAGCATCTGGAATTCACTATCGTATGAAAAGGGAATTTCATTGATTTCCTGAGTCTTCAATGGGTTTGCTAGGAAGAAAGATTTTAATGCAATCTGTATTAGTCACTTACATATTCTCTATCAAATATGCTACATAAAAATTATTCCAACCTCAGTAGCTTAAAACAACAATAAACATTATCTCAAAGTGTCTGTGGGTCAGTGAGTGGTTGTGGCTTGAGGTCTCTCACAAAGTTACAGTCAAGTTGCTGGCCAAAGCTGTTGCCACCTGAGGGCTTAACTGAGACTGGAGACTGGGTGATCCACTAAGTGGCTAGCTCACATGGCTGGCCAGTGGCTGCTGTTTGCTGGAAGGAAGCCTCATTGTCTCTCTACATGTGGCTCCCCATGAAAGGACCTCTCCCGGGGTTATCTGAGTGTCTTCACACCATGGAAGCTAGCTTCCCCAAGAACTAATGATCCAAGACATAAGTAGGTCACGAACTGTATTATCTTTTGTGACTTAGTCTTGGAAGCCACACATCATTGCTTCTACAATATCCTCTTGGTACACAGGTAAGCCCTATCAATGTCAAGTATATGACAGCATGAATACCAGGAACAGGGGAACACTGGGGCCATCTTGAAGGTCAGGGGCCATAACAGAACTGGATCAATGACAGAATAAGCTGCTTCATGAAATGGTAAGTTTCTGGTCACTGTAGGTGGACAGACAAAGCCTGGGCCAAAACTGGATGAATGAGGAAGGAGAGATTCTAGGACATGTGATGAATAGATGAGGCAAGCTTCCTCCTTTTAGCACTGCTCTCTTATGAGTATTAAATCTGACTTTGAAAAAAAAAAAGAAGAGAGAGAGAGAAATTGAGTCGAAAACACCAAAATATTTTTCGTTTGTATAGTAAAAATATTTGATAAGTTATCTGAGGTTTACATTTATTAATTGAGCCTGGAGGTGAGGGCAAACCAGAGCAATCCCCCAAGACGAGATGATTGGCAGTATACCCTGGAGAAGATAGCATGAATTTAAACACTGAGAATTGTTTAATTAGCCTAACTCCATTCAAGACCTCTCAGTCTAATTTTCATTGTTTGTATTACATACCATAACATCTTTCAGTATCAGCCCATCTTTTTGCAGGATCAAGCCCCAAGACTCTGCTACAGTGTTTTAGATAACCTACTAGGCTTTCCATTCTCTAAAGAAACCAATTATATATTAAATTAATAATTAAAAATTATAAATAGAACAAGAAAACATGCATGCTCCATGTCCTGTGGGTAGATTTTTGCACGGTGTGTAGAGAATTAGGTGCAAAAAAATCTATTTATGTTAATGGGCATTGCATGTCTAATTTCTCATGCACCACACCGCTGATTTCTCCCTTGTGTCTTTGTCAGTACATGGGACCATTGGAAGGGGAAGAAAAGTGAATGATTTATTTGATGGTCTGTCAATCAAAACAGCAACCAGAGAAATTCCAAAGCTGTTTTTAACCTCTATAGAAACAGTTAGTTAGACCATATGCTTTTTTCTTCGTGCCAGATGCTGTCATTCATCAATTTCCTATTAAGAAAATGGGATTCTGCAAAAACCACTGAGGTTTTTTCTCATTTGTAATAGATATTCCACAAAATCAGATTGCAAACGTATTCTGCAACTTCTGCAAAATAACTTCTGACACTTGGTGATCTCCATATTAATTTTGACTGACCTTTAATGATGTTTCTTCCGTGCGGTCAGTACATCATCTAAAAATATTACTCTAAAATTACCTTTACCTCAAGTTTAAACCTAGAGGTTAAATAGATTTGTTTGTGATGATCCAATCTGCAAAAATGGTAGAAATTAAATGACTCTTTAGAAATATCAGTAACCTAATAAAACACCCTTTAGTGAGTAAAGAGAGATTATAAAATGTTTGAGAATTAAAGTAAGCCACATGAGCTAACGTTGATTACCCAAAGTTGTTAAAGAAAGTGAAAAAAAAAAAACCTGTATTTTTTTCCCCTTCACCAAGTAGAAAGATCATTTTGTTTAGAGCAAAAGAAATGCTTAATTGTCATAAAATCCTGGGTGGATTTGTTTGTTTGCTGGTGTGTTTATTGTCAAGGATGAAGATACCTAGAAAACCTAAGGGCTTCTTTCTTAGGGACAATAAAATCCTTTCATCCTGCACATAGCAGCAGTACGTCTTCAGGGTTGGGCACACGGCCCTAACAACAATCATATTTTGGTTTTTAAATTCGAGTGCTCTAGGTAGTTGGAATATATTGACACTTGTCATCATTTCTAATGCAGACTTTTTTTTAAATAGTCTCATGATAACACTAGTGGCTTCAAATGTTTGCTTGTCTTGGTGCATTCACTTAACAAACCAACTAACATGGAAGTATCAGGAAAAAGGATATTGTTGCGTAGCTTTCAATCTGTGGCATTTTGCATCGTCTTATTAATAGGAACTGACTCTTTGACAAACCCTGCAAATAGCTCACAGAAGAGAGGAATGCTCAGAACTTCTAGGCAAATTTCTTCCAACAGTTAAGCAGTGATCAAAATTCTCAATTGTCTTTGCTGTCAGCCAGCAAGAAATGCGCAGGGTCTGCTTATTGCTCCAGATTTTGGTAGAAAGCTACTCAGGAAAAGAAATCTATACCTTTACAGCTGTCAGACTTTGGTGTATCCACTCCAACCTAACATTCTCAAGTCTAATTTTTTCTTAAAGGTCACAAACGAGCTATAATATAGTTTTTAACATTTTAATTTTCCCTTTTCTTCCCCCGCTGTTTTTTTCCCCTGCTGGGACAGCTCCACTCATGAAGGTCAGGGGAATGATAATGCTGAGGTAGCTCTGCCTTTTTATTCGTAGACCAGGTAGAAAGTGCATATAGCCATAAACTTAGGCCTCCATCATTCAGCATTGCTATTGACCCTTGCCCTGAGCTGAAGATTGTGCCTACTTGGGAGGATAATGAATGATTCACTTTGCAGGTAGGCAGAGGCCTGGAGCTTGCCTAGCCAGACTCTGCCAGTTTTCCTGAAAGATCTCTTGTGATTGGTTTTCTCATGTGAATAGACTATTTGTGAGTACACCACTGAACTCTATTTATTCAGGAATTTGTCTTTGACAAAAACAGCTGTCCTAGAGTTGAGATGATTTGTACTTTATCTGCTAATGCAGGTTTCCATTTGGCTGTTGGCTGAAAACACATTTTCATCCTGGGAAAATATTGCTGTCACTTTTTGGCACTAAAACAATTTTTGTGTGTGTGTGATTGAGTTGAGCTATTTAAAAAAAAAAAAAATACTTATTTAAGGTCACCATGGCGTGATCTCTAACTGCCAACTAAAGTTCCAGTTCTGTGAAGTGACCCAGAAAAAAAGGAGGCAGTTCTATATAAACAAATAGTAGCCAAATGTCTTCTTCCTTCTAATCCAGTCTCATTTGGGATCATGGTTAAAATAAGGATAGAAGGGAGCACAAAGAGAGACAACAACCTGATTCTGACCTTAACTTTGCTTAGGAAGAAAGGTCTTTAACAGGGTCCAGGTGGGGTGAGGGTAGGTGGAGCGAGACACCCACAGCAGGATTATGTAACCTGGAGCTAACATTCTTTAAAACCTCACATTTAAAAGTTATCTTCAAATGCACATGGACAAATACATATAATCTGTTAAATAAAATACTGAAAAGCAACCACTACTTTAAAAATACAATTTTGCAATTTCTTTATTTTTTTAGTATAATTAGTGCCTTAAAAAACGGTGTCTGCCTGAGCCCTCTGAAAGATCACAGACTCTAAGATCTATTTAAAACACAGTTAAAGTAACCCTCCAAGAGTATAGTTCTGAGAGTCCCACGTGAACCTCCAAGTTCAGGATGAAGCCATCTCCCTCGTTCTGCAGTGCGTTCTCTCCGAATTCTCTCCTAGGGAAGGAGCCTCCGAATCTTTAGAGTGATTGATTGATTGATTGATTGATTGAGAGACAGAGTTTCCCTCTTGTTGCCCAGGCTGGAGTGCAATGGCGTGATCTCAGCTCACTGCAACCTCCGTCTCCCGGGTTCAAGCGATTCTCCTCCCTCCGCCTCCTGAGTAACTGGGATTACAGGCACCTGCCACCACACCCGGCTAATTTTTTGTATTTTTAGTACAGACGGGGCTTCACCATGTTGGCCAGGCTGGTCTTGAACTCCTGACCTCAGGTGATACACCCGTCTTGGCCTCCCAAAGTGCTGGGATTACAGGCATGAGCCACTGTGCCTGGCCTAGAGTGATTTTTTAAATCCTCAATGCAGAATTCTTCCTCACAGTCCCCTATTATATTTTTGCTTCTTCCTACTCCCCAATTCTATTGTTAGCATTTATTTATTCTGATTAATTGACAATGTATGTGATATTGCCCATAACTAACCTCTTTATTTCTGCGTTTGTTACTATGTCCAAGCCCTCACAGCCTCACACCTGACGCCCCTTTGGCTGAGGACTGGGATCTTTCCTGGGAGTCTCCAGGCCAATCCTTTATTCTGCCCATCTGTATTAGTTGCCCTGGACTTCTATAAGAAATTGTTACAAACTGAGTGGCAGGAAACTACAGAAATGTTTTGCCTCACAGGTCTGGAGGCTAGAAATCTGAAATGAAGATGTGGGTAGAGCCCTGTTCCCTTTAAGGCTCCAAGGACTAGTCCTTGCTTGCCTTCTCCTCACTTCTGGTGGCTCCCAACAAGCCTTGGCGCTCTTGGGCTTATCCATACCTCACGCTTATCACCACCTCCATTTTCACTTCTCCTTCCTCCCCGGGTCACTGTCTCCACTAAATCTGTTCCTTTCCTCTCCTTTTCTTATAAGGACACCAATCATTGGATTTAAGACCCATCTTAACTCAGTAGATGAAATGACCTTAATTCCATCTGCAAAGATAATATTTCCAAAGAAGGTTGCATTCTGAGGTTCTAAGTTAGGGTTACCTCAACCCACTACACCATCTAAATATCTCTTTCCCAAAAGACCTATTAGAATAACTAGTCTAACTAGGAAAACAGCAGGGGCAGTCATCTAACTTTTTCTATTGAAGGTATTTTGATGACCTGACCGTTGCGAAGACCACAACAAAAGCTTCTAGAAAAAGAAAATGTGAAAATAAGACAGAGAGCCACAAAGCCATCATATTTCCATTTTTCACTTTGCCCTTTGATACTTCACACTTGCCCCTAACATCAAAGGTGCCTCATGGGACTCAGGGCACAGGAAAATGTGCCAGGTGGGGAACAGACGCTGTAAAAATATGACACATCTTCTTGGAGCATTAGTTGTGTTCAAATGTTAGTTACTGAAAACAACATTTTAGATTAAAATAAACATGACTATTTCTTAAACCTTTTCTTTTAATTTTAGCTTTTCAATGACCACTGCCCCACATTTCATAGATGTCCATTTCACCCGCTTCTGAAGTGATGATTTTATTGGGAAAGTTGCCATACATTCTGTGCTACCACAATCAGATTAATCTCAACATGCTTGCCATGCAGTAAAACTTGAACACGGATTTGTTAGATTAATAAACCCCTCTGAGAAACTGCTCTGATTCTGCAAGTTCCTAAACCAAGATACTGTTTCAGAGCTTCTCATATTTTATAGATGCCCACGTCTTTTTTCTATTATCTAAATCTCTTGGCAAGCTCATCTCCCTGTCATTGCTCCTGAGCTCTTAACCATTATTTCACTGCCCAAGTTAAGCAAGAATGAGGTGTTCTGCTTGCAAGAGATCTTTTCTACCAGAATTTGAACATGCCACATAGAAGACAGTCAGGTGGTAGCAGTTACCTTGCATAACTGCCAGGGAAGAATGATTTTATTTTACTGTTTGGTCCATAATCTGCAAACAAAGTGAGCTGCACATAGTGGTTTACTAAATAATTTTTCATCGCTACGTCCTCCTCTTTCTCCTCCTCTCTACTCTCTATTTCTCTTCTTTCAGGATAGAAGTCTGTAGGTCCTCTAGCCAATTAATTTGCTTTATTTAATAGCTTTTTAGGTCATGGGGTTTGTTATCTCAGCTTTAGTGTTCCTAACTCTTGACATCAATTCACTCTACTTACTGCTTCCATTTCACTTATCTAAATACAAACCAATGAGCATTAGCTGAACGCCTCATCCCAGCGTCCTTTTATTCGTTGTGGTACTGCCTAAGTCGATGTAAACCAGAGGCACACAAAGGCAGTGGCTCTATTATAGAAGTTTTGTTTATCTCTCCTGTAGCAATCTGGAGATAGGTGGGTGATTAGGAAGTTGCAGTTCTGCGAGAGCATTCACCCGGGGATCTGAGTGACTCCCATCTGCCTGTACCATTACCTCCTAGGATGCTGTCATTTCTCACGGTTAAACCAGCTTATTAGCAACATGTCCACATTCCAGCCTTTTGGATGGAGAAAAAGAGGAGGTGGAGGACAAACAACTTCCTTTTATTTTTACTTTTTTGAGACAGAGTCTCACTCTGTCGCTCAGGTTGGAGTGCAGTGGCGCAATCTTGGCTCACTGCAACCTCCGCCTCCCAGGTTCAAGTGATTCTCCTGCCTCAGCCTCCCGAGTAGCTGGGATTACAGGGGCCTGCCACCACGCCCAGCTAATTTTTGTATTTTTAGTAGAGACAGGGTTTCACCATGTTGGACAGGCTGGTCACGAACTCCAGATCTCAAGTGATCCACCCACCTCGGCATCCCAAAGTGCTGGGAGCCACCGTGCCCGGCCACAGCTTCCTTTTAAAACTCCATCAGAAATTTGCATACATTACTTCTCAGTGAACAAAACATAGTTACATGGCCTCACTTTAAGGGAAATACTGTCTCTATCTGGGATTTCCCTTTCTAAATAGAAAAGGGAGATACTGAATCAAGGGAGCAGTTAGTAGTGCCTGCCTACTCCCAGTCCTCCTTGACAGTGTCAATTTGGTCTCAACTCCATTAAGAGTTCTCCGTGATTAAGGAATTGTTTACACCCTTCCATTGGTACTTACTATAAAATGCATTTAATTATCAATTAAAATGCATATTCTAATCCTTAAGTCTAAATGGGATTTTTTCTACTTAGAGTATTAATTACTATGCATTTCATATAAGAGATTAGCACACAGTAGGCATTCAATAAATACCTTCCTGTTCAAACATTGTGTTGGAAGAGAATCAGGGATATTATACATTCTTGATTGCTTTTTATGTCACTTACCCTAATGTGTTTCAAACTTGATTTTCTTCATTAATATTCAAGAGAGAGAACTATTATCTTAAAGCAAACTAAACTTTGCTAGCTTCAAAAGAAGAGATAATAAACTACAGAGCCCACTAAGGGCGAGTGTCTTTGAAGTGAGCATGTAGGGAAGGGGAATTAATCACCAGCATTAACTGTTTCTTGGAGGCTTAGAGAAAGCACTGTATTTGCAGAAACGAATCATTCACTTAGAAGAATGGTAGAATGACCAGTTAAGAGAGCTATAGAGGTCAGTGGCTTTCACAGCCAGCTTTGGATGCCAGGGTTTAAGGGGATCTGACCCAAAAGACCTGGAGGCTGGGAAATTGAAGGACCACTGCACAGGAAATGAAGAATATGAATTTGGAGGTTAAAAGCCTCCTTCATTGTGAATAATGAGAGTTGCATCATGTAGTGCGAGGCACTTTTTTGTCAGTCAATTCCTTTTTTCTCTAGGCACTTAAGACTTTTCAGAGTCAGCTTTACTCAACTTTCTCTGTAGTTGTGCTGGTGGTACATATGCAGTACCCCACTTCCTAGTCATCAAAATAGTTGATGTTTCTGAAGAACAAATATGCGTGCTGACCTAAAAGATCATGTTACCCTTTGTCTCTAATAAAGAGAAGCTTCTTTGAAAGGGGAAATGCATCAGAAAAACAATTTCTGTGCGATTGAATATGTTTGAGGTTGGTTCATTAGCCAATAAATGGGAATAAGGTTCTAATTATTGTTAACATCTATCAGCTGGTAGATGCTAAAACTAATGATATGGCCACACCCTCCTCTGCATGGTTTGATAGGGTTCTTGGCAAAAAGGAATTCCAAGAAACAGAAATGGCTCTCTCCATGCTCCATAGGGATACAGTACAGTAGGTAAGAGTTGGGGTTCTGGAGTCAGAGTGATGAGGTTCTGATATCAGCGCCCCCATCCCCATAGCTATGGGGCTTTGAGCAAACACTAAATCACTCCAAGTCTTAATGCCCTCCTCTATGAAGTGGGAATAATAATAGCACTTACTTTCAAGGTCCTGCCCTAAAACAAGTCAGCTTCTCATAGGAATCCATGCTTTTGTGCCCCACTTCCCAGCTTTCATTTTTGCCGACCCCCCGGCTCCCTCACCTTCCCCACTGGGCATTGCTGGGAAGACAGAATGATCTTTGGAAATGCTAAATGAGATCATGTCACTCACCTGCACAGGACTCTCTGATGAGTTTGCATTTACTCAGAATAAACTCTAAATCCCTGTCCAGGTCTATAAGGCTACAGAACTATCTGGCTCTAGTGCCTCTCTTACCCTCCCAGACCTGGCTCCAACTGCACTGACTTTCCTCCCATTTTCTAGCACACTAAACTCATTCTCCTCATACGGTATTGTCAGAGGCATTTGAACCAGAGCAACTCAGTCTTGAATCGGGGCTGGGTAAAACAAGGCTGAGACCTGCTGGGTTTAATTCTCAGAAGGTTAGGCATTCTAAGTCACAGGATGACATAGGAGGTCAGCACAAGATAAAAGTTAATAAAGACATTGCTGATAAAACAGGTTGTGGTAAAGAAGCCAGCCAAAACCCACCAAAACCAAGTTGGTGACAAGAGTGACCTCTGGTTGTCCTCATGGCTCATTATATGCTAATTATAATGAATTAGCATTCTAAAGACACTCCCACCAGTGCCAGGACAGTTTACAGATAACATGGCAACGTCAGGAAGTTACCCAATGCGTTCTAAAAAGGGGAGAAAGGAACCCTCAGCTCCCGGTATTGTCTACCCCTTTCCCGGAAAACTCATGAATAACTACCCTTTGTTTAGCATATCATCAATAAATAACAATAAGTATAAGCAGCTGAGTGGCCCATGCCACTGCTCTACCTATGGAGTAGCCATTCTTTTATTCCTTTACTTTCTTAATAAACTTGTTTTCAGTTTACTCTACGGACTTGCCCAAAATTCTTTCTTGAGTGAAATCCAAGAACCTTCTCTTGGAGTCTGGATTGGGACCCCTTTCTGGTAACAGTTTGGTGCCTGAAACCCTCTACTCTCTTCTTGCAGCTGGTTCCTTATAACTTTCTGACTTCAGCTCAGATGTCACCAAAAGAAGCCTATTTCAGACAGACCATTCATTCATCTAACTAGCTTCCTCTTAGTTACTGCCTGGCACATCACCGGGTTTAATTTATTTCAGAGACCATCCAACTATCCTAAATCATCTGATTTACTGTTTTTCTACATGTTTATGTTCCACCTCCCTCACTTGAAAGGTAAGCCAGGCCTCTTTCTGCTTTTTCACTCCTGTTTTCCTGATACTCAGAAGAGTTATTGGGACTTAGTAGGTACTCATTATTTGTTCAATGAAGGAATGTTTGTCCAGCGAATGAATGAATTGGCATCTTGTAAGTTTGTACTAAAAATTAACTGCAAGAGGCACAAAAGCATGTATGGTGATGTTGGACGCATAGTAAGTATCCATGAAATGCTGGAGATTGTAGTTATTATGAATCTTCAGTACTGTGCCATCTACCCAATTCCCATTGCAGATACTCCACATCCATAGTTCCTAGCAATCCTCCTGAAAAGAGTTTTTTCCCTAATCCTAGGGATTCACAAAGTCAAATATAGTTTAATGTATTCTAATGCATAGAAATTAAGTAGCAGTGGTATTCATCCATGCTATCAAATCAGTTGTGTGGGGATTTTTTGTTTTTATATCTGTAGAAATAGCTGCTATTGGGGATGAAGCATTGGTATAAAGTAGCAAGAGGCACAAACTGTGGAAGAATTTAGATATAGGTTCTCATCCCATGTCTCTTGATATTTTCTGTCTGTGTGGACTCCAGAAACTTCTCCAGTCTTCATAATGTCCCCTCTTAGGCTTGTTTTAAAAGATTACATTAAAAGAGCTATTGCATATAGAGTGTTGATGGCACACAGTAGGAGCCCAATACCTGGGGTTATTGTTAATATGAATAATGATTTTCATGCACTTAACCAAATTTCCAAACTTCCAG